>NW_025791814.1:340259-510389 GCF_000001405.40 Homo sapiens
AAAACATTATTTTTTAGAGTCTGTAGAACTTTGCTAGAGAAAATGGCTTGAGTCTTTTTGCCTGTTTCTTCTCAAGCCATTCAAAGGCCAAGCAGTATTTTCCCTGTTTGTGGTCTCTGCCTCTCAGTTTCATCTCCGTTTCCTCATCTGTAAGAACAATGAGACCTGCCGCCTCCTAAGGCTGTAATGAGGATTAATGAGATTATGTTAGAGGAACCCTCTGAGGGTGTTGGAAGAATGGCCCCACAGAAACACCAAGTGTGATTATCCCTGCTGCAGAATCAAAAATTTCTCCTGTCCAAATACTTATTGTTCATAAGATTTCGGCAAGTGAGGCTGCCTACTGGGCAGCTCTAATCCTTATAAAGAAAATGATTTTTCCAGCCAGGAATTAACAAATTCTTAGCACATACTAAAATATCTCCTCAGCTGGGTTATTATGCTTACATAATGAAGTTACTTAGATTATAACCGTTAATCAAATTCATGTTTCCAAGCTGGAGTGGGTCATATTTGATGCTAAGCTTGAACAAGAATGACAACATCTCCACTTCCTGGCAGCTTTTCCAGGCCCTTATGACATGATTGAATGTGTCAGGGGAAAGACGAAGAACATTTAGGGTTCATATTACATTCACTCTGAAGTTATTTCAAGTCACATTATTGGAAGAAAGTTGATTTATTTTTTAAGACAAGTATGAATATTAACCAAAAGATATCAAAAACAGTATTTTCCTCTAACTCGCATGGAGGCAGGCTGGCCATTTCTTTCTTTTTTTTTTTCCATCTGTCTGGTTCTGTACATAGGTACTATATTTTGCCCAATAAGAAAGCTTCTTATTTATTTATTTATTAGACGGAGTTTCACTCTTGTTGACCAAGCTGGAGTGCAGTGGCATGATCTCAGCTCGCTGCAACCTCTGCCTCCCTGGTTCAAGCAATTCTCCTGCCTCAGCTTCCCAAGTAGCTGGGATTACAGGCATGCTCCACCATGCCTGGCTGATTTTGTATTTTTAGTAGAGACGGGGTTTCTCCATGTTGGTCAGGTTGGTTTCAAACTCCCAATCTCAGGTGATCCGCCTGCTTCGGCCTCCCAAATTGCTGGGATTATAAGCATGAGCCATTGTACTCAGCAGAAAACTTCTTAATAATTATGTAGAAAAAGGAAAATAGTAAATAGATTTTGATTTCCTGCCATCAATGATAGTAAAAAAATAAAGAAACAAGGAAGAAAATAGATCATGTCATCCTGAAAAATTGGGTAAGTGCTGTCCAGGATATTAATTGCAGCAAAAATATATTATGAGCCATGGGTTAGCCAGTTTTTAAGGTGACCTGTGGTAATCTCATCTCCTGGAATTCAAACTCTCCACATTTTATCACTCTGAGACCAGATTATAAAAGGACTGTAGCTTCTACCTTCTACTTGGGTGCCCCAGTTCTCTCTCTTTCTGTCTGATCACTTGCTCCAGGGAAGCCTGCCATGATATCACCAGGATACCCATGTGGCCTATGGAGAGGACCATGAGAAGGACAAGTCTTGGGCCAATAGCCTGCCAACAACCCTGTGTGGGAGCTGGGGGGTGGATTCCACCCCCGCCACCCTTCACTCTTATATTCAGATGCATTTCCCAGAAGGCAAGCAGTTTCCATGTGGCTTGGGGACAGACACAGAGTTGTCATGTCTGAAGCCATGTTCTAACTTTTGAGCAGCTGCTTTATGTACAGCTGTTTTTCATGGAGAAACAGAGAAGATAAATCATCATCCCCATTAGCACTCAATGGGGTGGTGAATTCTACCATGTCTTGTCTCCATCACCCACTGCACAGCACACTGCCTGTGGCTCCCAGCCGTTCAGTGTGCTGTGTCTTCTGGAAGCTGGGCTGGTTATCTCCTTGAACAAGTCCTTCGGCCTCTCTGTGCCTCAATTTCTGTACCTATAATTACAGCACCCCCTCCTAGGGTTGCTGTAGAGATTACAAGCTAATAGCTCTTTAGGGTGTCCCAGGGATCTCCTCTACCTGAAGATTCTTGTCCAAAATGGGCCAACGCCCAGTATTTTGATCCTTCCTTCAACGTTATAATCTCCACCATATTTCTGATTCCTAAAGTTTCACCTTTTCCTTGAAACCACTCTGACCATGTGATCTTCATCTGTGTTAATATTCATTTTCCACTGTGCCTCTTCATTCAAGCATTAGTGGCATGATTCCATTGGCTTGCATGTGATGCCCATATGGTTTTTTTATTTGGTTATCTGGATTGTATCATTTATTTCATTCCTTTTTCATTTGACTATGCTAGTATCAAGGACATAAATGCCCTTTTAAAAACATCTGGTGTAATAATGAGGATGATAATTATAGCTAATATGCATTAAGTTCTCTGCTGAGAAATGTATTAGCTTTTAATACCTACAGCAATCCTAGGAAGGAGGTTTTGTAAATATGAGTATAAAAATTGAGGCACAGAGAGGCTAAATGGCTTGTTCAAGATCACACAGGTAGAGAGGAGCGGAGCCAGAATTTTAAACCATGCAGCCCATCTGTTTCCCACCTGGGTATGGATGCATGAACAACTTGGTACATCCTTGGCTGCTTTTGAACTGTATGTAAAATACCATCAACCTTTCTGCATTCATTTGTGTCTGGCTTCTTTCCTTCCACCTTATGTTTGCAGATATCTACCATACATGTATAGTACCTGTTGTTTCTTTCCTTTTATACACAGAGTTATTATACAGCCCTGAACCAGCATCACCTGGGAACATGCTAGAAATGCACACTCTGGGGTCCCACAACCTGTCTGAATCATCCCCCACCTGGGGGCTGCTTTACATCTGTTCTTTGTGGCATCCCTCCCCTACCCGTCACCCAGAGCCTTGTTTTCTAGTACCCTGCGTGCATATTGCAGAAGCAGCTCAGGCTTTGGAATCAGCAGAGCTAACTTTGAGGTTTTTTGGCTCTGCCAATTGATAAGCTATAAAATTAGGTGGGTATTTATGTTCTGAATCATCTATCAAATGGGTGCAAGGGTGATGCCCACCTCAATAGAGAGAAGCAACACAATTAAATACATGCAAAGACCTTTGTAGATTATAAAGTGCTTATAAGGTTAGTTTTTTTTCTAGTTAATATTTGTGTTCATGACTTGGTTTTCTAATTACATTGTACATTCCTGTACGGCTAAAGAGCTTTTCATATATATGTATAGGCAAGGATTGTAAGAAAAAAAGTGTTAAGATAATGGGATCATACAGATTTAAAAATTTTAAATATTTAATGTGGTTTTTATAAAGGTTGAGCAATAAATAAAATATGTTTAAAAGTAAATTTCACTTATGTAGGTTTTAAATGAAATATTAATGAATTTGATAAATAATATAACGGTTGTGTCCATCATATCACGTAGAATATTAACAACATAGGTAAAAGATAAAAGGAAAACAGGGGTGTTTTAAGTGCTAACTTTTGTTAACTTGTTTTGAAGAGAATGGGGTGATGGTCTGCTTACTTTCCAAGAATAGGGTTCCCAGTGGTGTTTTCAAAGAGATTGCTGCTACAGATTAATTGTAGGGCCCATATTTGTGTGCGTGTGTGCACACACATGTACCCATGAATGTGCCTGTGTGAGCACGTGTGCAATTCTATGCATGTACATTCATTCTTTTGTGTGTGCCTGTGTGCATGTGTTTGCGTGGATGTGGATGTGTGTTTATGTTCATACCTGCCTGGGTGTCTGCTGGAAGACTAGAGGGCAATGGCTCCTAAAGACTTTTAATTATCTTGAAACCTTTCTCCCAAATTTTGTGTGAAAGCCAAGATGATGCATTTTTATTATGTTTATTAGAAAATAAATATACAACTATATATTTCTTACTTATTTAAGAACGTTCTCATAAAGGAAAACCTTAAAGTTCTCAGATGGTCTCTATAACCTTGGCCTATTTTATAGGTTTGTGGAAGGGACAACTGACTTAGAGAGGCTATGGAGATACAAAATAACACCAATGGTTTTGCAGATAGAAAAGCACCTCTTCTGAAAGAATAAGGAATACACCCAGCCTGTGGAAGCCAGAACCAGCGCCTTTACTTTCATAATTCAAAGTGGGGGCGAGATTCTTCTCATGTAACTGAACTGTAGTATTAATGATACAAAGAGATGGAGGTCGTATCCTAGCTTTCGAGTAAATGCCAACACAAGCAAGTGTGTCTGCACATGCACACACACAGTCACATGTGCAACTAAAACCAGTGCTTTTTCCTGCTTTGTGTTATGGGCTTATGAGCCCTGCATCCAGCAGTGAAATGGGTAAACAGATGCATGGCACATTTGCAGGAATACATTCCATGTAACTGTTGGCAGGCTGCACCCCTTCTGTGTCTTCTGTTTATGTCAGTTGATACATCTTTAAGAAGGGGGAAATGGAAGGAGCAAGGAATTGTTGGCAAACAGCACTGTTAATCAGGAGGTATTTTATGACCCAGCAACTCTCAGGGGGTTTTTAAAGTTCAGAGGCTCATGAAGAGACATGTGTAAAGGTCCCTCCCAGGGGAGACGAACAGACACTAATTGAGGTATTGACGGCTCTAAATGAAGCAGAAACCTGCTAGAAGATTCAGCTCCAAGGAAGATGAGTGCTGCCAAGCAGTGCATGCTGGGGGCCTTAGCAGGTTTCATTCACTGCTCCTTCATGCAAGTAAGTGTACTCTTGGGCCTGGTGCAGTGGCTCATGCCTGTAATCCCAGCACTTTGGGAGGCCAAGGCAGGCAGATCATCTGAGGTCAGGAGTTCGAGACCAGACCGGCCAACATGGCAAAACCCCATCTCTACTAAAAATACAAAAATTAACTGGGCATGGTGATGGTAGCCTGTAATCCCAGCTACTCAGGAGGCTGAGGCAGGAGAATCGCTTAAACCCGGGAGATGGAGGTTGCAGTGAGCTGAGATTGCACCATTGCACTCCAGCTTGGGTGACAGAGCAAGACTCTATCTCAAAAAAAAAAAAAAAAAAAAGTGTTCTCTTGAACACAGAAACTTGTGCCTCTCACAGCACAAGGTCCCAAGCTAAAGAGCCACAAAAAATGATCTGTTGAAGTATTAAAAATATCTCCTTGATCATGTCCCCAATTCTTTGCCTCGGTGAATATTATATTGTATATTTCCCCATATGCACATATAAAACAGGCATATAAGATATTTAAGCATGTTTCAAAAACATTCAAGGATAGTAAATAATGTTTAAAAGCATCACCTATAGTTTCTCCTGAAGAAAGATTGTTGCACTGCTCTCTCCATCCCATTTAGGGAGGATTTATGCAATAAGTATTGGAGGTTTTACCACATTTGGCCTTTTATATTCGACATGGAACTATCTCACCCACAGAGGCTTTTTGGCATTGGCAGCAGCACCTGCTTCCTCTTAGAGAGCCTGGGATGCCCAAAGCAGAGGGAACTGTGAAATCTGACACAACGTGTAACCTGTGCTCTAACTGTATCTCTCTGAACTCCACCCAGTTCTAAGGATAGTAATGTCAGTGCGTCTAGGTAAAGAGACCTTTGAACACCCGTGTGAGTCTGTGTGTGCCTGTGTGAATAGCAAATGAGCTGTCACCAGAATACCTTCATCCCAGTAGGTGTGTCCCTAATGACAGGAACAGGATGTGAGGATGAATCCACTGGAAACTGCTGGGGAAAAGCACCTGAGGCCAGGGGTCAAGGAGGCAGCTCTGGGTAGCAGAGCAGAGGCTGTGAGCATCCTCTGGAGGGCATGTTAGCACACGGGGGTAGGCCCGACCTGTGGAGCTGACTCAGTGGGTCTAGGGGGGACTCCAGAGGCTGCACATTCTACATGTTCCTGAGGTACAATGGTACAGCTGGGTAGGTGGTGGAGGAGGGCACACATTGAGACCCAGTGAGAGGAATGGGTGCCTCCAGCATCAACCATATTTCCTGGGCCATTTCCACATAGCTATTTGGATGTGTTATATCAAGTAAGTTAAAACTCTGCTTTTATTTTTTAAAAATCCCAATAATGTGGTAGTAAACATTTCTAATCCTTGCTTTTCCTGGGATTTGCCAAAAAAAAAAAAAAATGTTCAAAAGAAGCCTGGGCAACATAGCAAGACCCCATCTCTACAAAAATAAAATAATAAATAACTGAGCATGGTAGCACATGACTGTAGTCCCAGCTAGCTGGGGGACTGAGGTGGGAGGACCCCTTGGGCCCAACAGGTCAAGGCTGCAGTGAACTCTGTTCATGCCACTGCATTCCAGCCTGGGCAGCAGAACAAGACTTTGTCTCAAAACAAAACAAAAACAATTTAAAGAAAATTTAGGTGATTTATTTTCCATTTCAAGAAAAGAAAGACATTGCATGCATGATACCCCAGGATAGAAACCACAAAGATAGTGCTTAGCAGATTTGACAATGCATCCTGCTAAAGATTCTGTATGGCAATAAACATGCAAACAAATAAATATGGAAAACAAAATTTTTAAAAAGTCAAACCGAAAAAAAATTGTAACTATAGTAAAAAAGTATTATTATGCAATAACATAAATTTATAAATACTAAAAACAATCCCAGAAAAAGTGAAAAAGGATAGAGAATTCATTAAACAAATGGAAATTTCAATATTAAAATACCAAGATATTCAAATTCTTTCTATAATTTCTTTAATTTCTGTGAAATTTTCTTGCCATTGCAGAGCAGATGACTGAAAGTGTCCAGTTTGGTAGGAGGTGGGGACTGGGGTGCTGGCACTCTAGTCTTGCAATGGAAATGTCTGATGGTACAGTCTTCTGGGAAGCCAGTTTGGCCAGGTGTAAAAATATGTTGTGTGAGCAGATCTTTTGACCCTGTAATTCCTTTTCTTGTATTTTATCCTAGGAAATTAATTAGATAAATGTGCATAGTTTATGTATAAGGATGGCTCATTGCAATCTTATTGATTATAGGAGCCTTTAGGCACAACATAAATGTTCACAGTTACTTAAAAAGTAATTACACATCTATAAGTGGCATATTATTCAGCCCCTAAAACACAAAAACTATAATGTAAAGTCTCAGAAAGATAGATCTGTGTTCATTTGCTAGGTCTGCCATAATAAATTATCATGGATTGGCCTCAATAATAGGACTTTATTATCTCACAGTCCTGGAGGCTCGAGGTCCAAGACCAAGTTGTTGACAGGGTTGATTCCTCCTGAGGCCTCTCTCCGTGGCTTGCAGATAACCATCTTCACCTGGGGTCCTCACACGGTCACTCCTCCATGTGTGTGGCTACACGCTAACCTCTTCTTAGAAGGACACCAGTCAGATTAGATGAGAACTACCCTTAGGACCTAATTTTACCTTAATCACCTCTTTAAGCCTCTATCTTCAAATACAGTCACAGCAGGAGTTGCGGCTTCAACATGCGAATTTTAGGGGGAGACACAAGTTAGTTCCTAATAATACCTATAATACATTATCAATGGAATAAAAATGGAATCCATGGAGTAATAGATTTAGTGTATGTTCCCATCAACAAATATTCCTGGTTCAAATTTGAGCAGCACTGGCCAGGCATGGTGGCTCTTATCTGTAATCCCAGCACTTTGGGAGGCTGAGGTGGGTGGATCACCTGAGGTCAAGAGTTTGAGACTAGCCTGGCCAACATGGTGAAACCTGATCTCTACTAAAAATGCAAAAAATTAGCTGGGTGTGGTGGTGGGTGCCTGTAATCCCAGCTACCTGGGAGGCTGAGGCATGAGAATAGCTCGAGCCTGGGAAGCAGACACTGCAGTGAGCTGAGATTGCGCCATTGCACTCCAGCCTGGGCAACACATTTCTGGGCTAAACCGGGCCACAATTCCATTGTCACAGAAAGTGGCAGCGAATCTCAAAGGGTTTTCGGTTGAGCATGGAGAATGGCTCACTGAGCTGTTGCTTTCATTGTTTTCCCCAAGGATCTTGGAGTGCTGCATGCTCTCATATTCTCACATGGTCAGGAGTTCTTACTCACCAGGAAACAGCTGGGGAAAGAAGTAACATGTCCTCTCTAACTTACATGTGAAGGAACATTTTGAGTATGACGAGAACATGCAGAAAGATCTCCTGACATAACTGTTATCCGTAGGGGGTTCCATTTAGCCCTACACAAAATCCCCTTGGGTTGCGAAACAGAAATATGGAGAGGCAGCTGCGGCTTTCACTGCCCTACTCCTCCCTCCTCTTAACCTTTCATTTAAAAATCTAAAACAGGCCAATCTGATCCTCTAGGAAGATTAAGAAATTTTTGCTGGCAATAGGAAGCATGCAACTAAGGAAAAAGCCCTCAAAACAAACAGCCCCTCAAAGATGAGGTCTGAGCTATTGTGATTTCTTTTCAGAAGCTCTAAGAGCAAGACAGCTGACAGCTAAATGAGCGGGCACTATTTTGAGAACTCGCATTCAGGATTAATTGTAGGGGTGAGGTTCTGTGGGCTCAGAGAGGCTGCCTGTAGCCACGAGGACAATGAGTGATTCTCCCCTCATCGTCTTCCACTTGGGACTCTCAGAGCTGGTTGCCATGGTTGATGAAGTGAAGTGCACATGCTTCCGCCTTGATGACAGTGAGTGACAGGAGGTTGTTAAGGAAGCAGTGGGGGAGGATGAGTGAGAAGGTTATGCAGGGTGTGTGGCCAACCCTGGACCTGTCCAGTATAATGCCAGGCTTTGAGCAAAATGCCAAGAAGAAGACTGGATGAAGTGAGAAACTACTCATTTCATAGACGTTGCATGGCGATGCCTGCACACACAAGACTCCTACATTTCTGTTCTTCCTCTTCTGCTCTCTTTTCCACTCTTACCCTTGCTGATCTGACCTGCTTGGGCTGTCTCGATTATTTCTTATAAAGCCCTGACCACTCTCTCCTGAGCTGCTGTCTCCCATCTCTGGAGGTCAGCCAGGTACTTCCATTTGGAAGGCACACCATCCCCTTACAATCAACATGAGACAGATGAAATGTGGCACCTTTCCTTCCAAGCTTTCTCCCTGTCCCTATTCCTGTCCCAGGCTCCTCCTTGGATGGATTCCAGGTCCCCAAGGCAATCAGTGGCCTGGTCCTTCTTGGTCAAGGTTCATAGCATCATTTAAATTAGACTTGTCCCCTCTAGGCCCGTGACCATCAGCTTACTGCAAGCCATAATCAGGATGCCTGTGCTGGGCTGTGAAATGGCATTATAACTCATCGCTCATTCATCTTCCTTTTCCACTCCAGTCTATCCTAGGGCTCTGCCAGACTCAGCTTCCTCACATGCAACTTCCAGTATGATATCCTCTCACTTGCAATTTACAATGTCTTCCTGCTATTTACAGATTAAGCTCAGTTTTCACAGCTTAAAAGTTAAGACGTTTTATAATCTTGCTGCAACCTATGTTTCCAGTTACCCACTAACTCCTTCTTTACCCAGACATTCCACCCCAGCACTCAAACATACCTTGTATGTTTCTCCACCTCCCCCATTCCCTATTTTGAGGTCTGAGAACATGGTTTTCCTTTTCCAGGTATGACTGGCTGGCACTGTTTTGCCATTCTGAAAATTACCTCCAGTTCTTCAAGTTGGATTTCATTCCACCTTCCAGGTTAAACTCACGTCCTACCTCCTCTATGGAGCCCTCCCTGACCTCACCCCTACAAGGGGCTCTCCCTTCTCCAAACTCCCACAACTTTTTAATGTATATATTCACATTTATTGCACATATATATCTTTTGGCATTTACTTTTACAAAGCTAAAGTTTTGCAATACAGACTCCTAGGAAGTTGCAAAAATAGTAGAGTCCTGTGTGTCCTTTAGCTTCTGGCCATGTTGTGAATTTCCATAGCTGTGGTGCAATATCAGAGCCAGGAAACCCACATGGGAACATTCCCAGTTAACATTATCCAGTAGACTAGATGCCTTCATCTTTTATTCATTTATTTGTTCTTTAAGATGGATTCTCGCTCTGTCACCCAGGCTAGAGTGCAGTGGCACGATCTTGGCTCACTGCAACCTCTGCCTCCCAAGTTCAAATGATTCTCCTGCCTCAGCCTCCCCAGTAGCTGGGATTACAGGCATGTGCCACCATGCTTGGCTAATTTTTGTATTTTTAGTGGAGATAGGGTTCCACCATGTTGGCCAGGCTGGTCTCGAACTCCTGACCTCAGGTGGTCCATCCTCCTCAGCCTCTCAAAGTGCTGGGTTTACAGGCATGAGCCACTGCACCTGGCCACCTTCATTATTTTTAACCCACATTCATTTGTGTGTATGTGCTCGTGTAGCTCTGTAGGTGTATACTTCCGTTTAACTTTATCCCATTACAGGTCCATGTACCCACCACCACCATCAAATGAGGAACTATTCCACACCACAGAAGAATTCCTTATTCCTATCTGTCTGTGTTTGCACCTGGCCCCATCCTACCCATTGTACCTGTCTACTAGTATCCACTAAGGTATTCTCCACCTCTGCTGTTTTATCGTTTTGAGAATGCTTTATAAAGATAACTTTTTGAAGTTGGCTTTTTTTCACTAAGCGTAATGCCCTTCAGACTCATCTAGGTTATTGTGTGTGTCAACAGTTCATTTCTTTTGATTGCTGAATAGCAGCATTCCAAACTATGGATGGACCATAGATTTTTCAACCATTCACCTGTGAGAAACATTCATTTTGTTGTTGTTGTTGTTGCTGTTTGTCCAGAATTTAGCTACTATAAAGAAAGCTGCTATGGATATTTTTATATAACTTTTTGTGAACATAAATTCATATTTCTTTGGGATAAATGCTTAAGAGAACAATTGCTGGACCACATGGTAAGTGCATGTTTAGTTTTATGAGAAACTGCCAAAGAGTTTTCCAGAATGTCTGCACCATATTACATACCCACCAGCAATGCATGAGAGATCCAGTTTCTCCACATCTTTGCCAGCATGTGGCGTTATAATTTTTAAAAAATTTTTGTTGTTCTCATAAATGTGTAGCCAGGCATGCATTTTTGATGTGTAGACCTATCCACCTATCCATCAGGGCATGAGTCAAACATTTCCAAAGGCAGTGACTTGTCCTTGGTACAGCCCATGATGCATCAGACATGTAGATTCTCACCAAAATACCTATGGACCAACTGCCTTCTATCTAGAAGTGTTATCACACTTTCCACTGCATACTCTGCTAATAGGCACTTTTATCCACACCTCATTATTCTCCTCCATCATTGCCCTCTGGATTGTAAACTGCTTGAGGTTAAAGATGATGTCTTAATTGTGTAGACCCTAATTGTTGGCAAATAGTAGCTGCTACACAAATTTGTGTGTGTGTGGGTTTTGTTGTGGGAGACTGAAATTCTGAAGCTTTTTTTTTTTTGGTGTGGGGGGTGGGAGGGAGTCTTGCTCTGTTGCCCAGGCTGGAGTTCAGTGGCCCAATCTCTGCTCTCTGCAGCTTCCGCCTCCCAGGTTCAAGCATTTCTCCTGCCTCAGCCTCCCAAGTAGCTGGGATTATAGGCGTGCACCACCACGCCTGGCTAATTTTTTTATTTTTAGTAGAGACAGGGTTTCTCTGTGTTGGCCAGGCTGATCTCGAATTCCTGACCTCATGATCTGCCTGCCTCGGCCTCCCAAAGTGCTGGGATTATAGGCGTGAGCCACTGTGCCCAGTCAATTCTGCAACTTTTTTTATTGCAAAGAAGGAAGGGTGCTCAAGGCATAGAGAACAACACAGAGGCCTCACCTTGAGAGGCATAGCCATGGGGTTTAGATTGAACATGAATTTAGTTTTGATACTTAAGAATTCTAACTTCATGTTCAATCTAAACACCATGGCAGCCCTGGTCTCAGCCTTACCTCTGCAGTCTAGTTGTCGCTTGGACAGTACATCCTTTCCCAGTAACGAGATGACACACCCCTGTGCATATTTCAGGCTGCTTTCTATCTTGTTTTTCACCATTCTCACACCAAGAACACCAAGGTTTGTGAGGCCTCTGTTGTATATTGTGACAAAGAGCAATTTATATGGTTGGCAATAAAGCAGGTTTTTTAGGGGTTGATATTTTTCAGTTTAATTTTCATCCCTTTAGTGGGTTGAATTGTGGTCCTTCAAAAATATATCAACATCCCAACCCCTGGAATCTCAGAATATGACCTTACTTGGAAATACAGTCTTTGCAGAGTTAAAGAAAGTAAGAACCTCTAGATAAGGTCATCCTTCATTAGGGTGGGTCCTAAATCCACTGAAGAATGTCATATAAGAGACAGAAAAGGAGAAGGCACAGAGACACAAAAAAGAAGCCATGTGAAGGTGGAGGCAGAGACTGGAGTGAGGCAGCCACAGGCTCAGCAGTGTGAAGGGTTGAGGAAGCCTCTGGAGGCTGGGAGAGGTGAGGAACTGATGTGCCCTCAGAGCCTCCAGAAGGCACCAGCCCTGCTGACTTCTTGATTTCAGATGTCTGTGAGAGAAGAAACGTCTGTTGTTTTAAGCCACTCCATCGTGGTCATTTTGCATGGCAGACCTAAGAAACGGATGCCATCTTCAAGATCATTTGAACAGTATAGAAAAATGTATTTCACAAAACTTTTACTTATTATTTCACATTTTTAAACTTCATATTCCACGTTTTGCTTTATTTTGGGTATCAAGGCTTCTAGGGCATATTTTAATCACCCCAGAAGCATGGACATAATAAGACCTGGTTAAAGAGTGCACTGTGAGTGAGCCATGGGGTGAAGGATCCTGCTGCTGCCTCACAGCCTCCTGCCTCCCTGTGCACACATAGGTTTACTGTCAGGACTGTAATGAGGTTTGCATGAATAAACAGCTTTAGAAACAGCTTTCAAGTTTCCACCAAAATACCTGTTAGGAAGTCTTGTTTCCACCATAATTGCTAATTGCTTACCTACATGTGACCTGGGTATCCATAATGCAGACATGAGCAACACATGATTGTAGAAAATTCTAATTTAAATTATTACATTTTTATTTGGGTTCCACGCAGAAAACATCTTAGGCAGCCACTGCAGATTATTTCTAGAAGCGAAGGGAAACCTGGCTTGGAGATGGAGTGGGTGAGAAGCTAGAAGGGAATCTGTTAAGGATGCCAGGGATGGAGGGGTTCCTTCTCCATGAAAATAAGTGGAGTCAAGGAGGAATCCTTGAGGCAGCCTCTCCAAGACATGCAGGATCATGGGTTTTGACTAGGGGAATTTTACGATATTCTAGTGCAGGGATATAAGGAGGCAATGTCCAGGGAACAGGGCTCTTCCCCCAAAGACAGAACCCCTGGGTCCCTCATCCTTTCCGCATCTTCTGCTGTGTTTGGTATCCAAGGCCCTTGGCCCAGCCATTTGGAGTCCACTCAAATCCACACCTACATGGTGAGGAATAAAGGGAGACAAACTCATTGGAGTCATTGCCCCCATAGAGCTTCCTTTCCTAGACAGACGGAAACCCAGCAAACACACGAAGCGAGACATCAGGCAATGAGTGATACCTGGGTGTAGAGAACAAGGCATCCCTTCTATTCTTGCTCCTAAGGATTTCAGGTAGTTTGTTGCCCAGCCCACTTAGGCTATAAATGCTGCTTTCTCTCCAACTAGTCATAGCTATCAGCCAGCCTGGCCACTTTGGAAATAAGAATATTTAATGCACTCATGGACGTGGGAGCCTGTGTTCTAAGACATTCTTACTCAGTCATAGTTAGCTGAGACTCTAAAGAGTGGCATATGTAATCAAGATAAAATATGAAGTGTGCATCTGGTATATTTTGGAGCCTATAAAGAAAGATTCTGTGCTGATAATATTTACATTGGGTTTTTCTTGTTGTTTTGTTTTTCCAAGATGATGGAATATAGGCATTGTTAGCATTCCTTTTCCACTTGGAAAGATAAAATAGTGTGTAGAGATTCACACTGTGAACTTTTTTCCAAGAAGGAACACAGGACCGTAAACAGCTTTGAAAGAAGCTGTGAGTAGCAGCCTACACCGCTGTCTTTGGGAAACACCACTGAACATGTAAGGATTCTTATAGACTACAGGTAAAGGGTGGAAAAAGAGATTTCCAGCAAATGGAAGCCAAAAACAAGGAGTAGCGATTCTGATATCAAATAAAACGGACTTCAAAGCAACAACAGCAAAAAAAAAAAAAAAAACAAAACAAAAAACAACAAGAAAAAGACAAAGGTCACTATATAATGATAAAATGACCAATTAAACAAGAAGATGTAACAATTGTAAATATATATGCATCAAACTCCAGAGTTCCTAAGTTCTTGAAGCAATCAGTATATCAAAAAGACACCTGTACACATGTTTATCACAGCACAATTCACAACTGTAAAGATATGGAATCCTCACGCCTGTAATCCCAGCACTTTGGGAGGCCGAGGCGGGTGGATCACGAGGTCAGGAGATCGAGACCATCCTGGCTAACAAGGTGAAACCCCGTCTCTACTAAAAGTACAAAAAATTAGCCGGGCGCGGTGGCGGGCGCCTGTAGTCCCAGCTACTCGGGAGGCTGAGGCAGGAGAATGGCGTGAACCCGGGAAGCGGAGCTTGCAGTGAGCCGAGATTGCGCCACTGCAGTCCGCAGTCCGGCCTGGGCGACAGAGCGAGACTCCGTCTCAAAAAAAAAAAAAAAAAAAAAAAAAAAAAAAAAAAAAAAAAGATATGGAATCAACCTGAGTCCTCATCAATCCATGAATGGATAAAGAAAATGTGGTTCATACACAACTTACCCATGTAAAAAACCTGTACGTGTACCCTCTGAGCCTAAAATAACAGTTGGAAAGGAAAAAAATCATAAAAGCAAGACTCAACTAAAAAAAAACAAAAAGAAAAAATTGTGATATATATACCATGAAATGCAACCCAGCCATAAAAAAAAATATAATGACTTTTATAGCAACTTGGATGAAACTGGGGGCCGTTATTCTAAGTGAAGTAACTCAGGAATTAAAAACCAGGTACTCATGCTCTCACTTATAAGTGGGAGCTAAGCTATAGGTATGCCAAGGCATTCAGAGTGGTGTAATGGACATTGGAGACTCAGAAGTGGGGAGGGAGGTGAGGAATGAAAAACTAGCAGTTGGGTAAATGTATACTATTTGGGTGATGCGTGCACTAAAATCCTAGACTTCACCACTACACGATTCATCCACGTAACCAAAAACCACTTGTACCATTAAAACTAATGAAAGAAAAAAATTAACTAATTAATTTAAAAACCACACTGGGGAGTCCCTGCATGCTAAGTAGGTAGAACAAATCAATCATAAATGACTGCCATTTTGTCTACATTCTGTATAAAAAAGGTGAAACTGCTCCTTTTCTTCTCCTTTAAAAAAAAAAAAAAACAACTTTGGTATTTGTGCTCAAGACTACTATGGGAAGGACCCAGTTATAAACATGCATTTCACGCCAATATTTCTTCTTCAGAATAAGTGCTAAGCAAGTCAAGACATGCAATGATTTCTTTTGGCCTCCTA
Source organism: Homo sapiens (assembly GCF_000001405.40). Taxonomy (NCBI): domain Eukaryota; kingdom Metazoa; phylum Chordata; class Mammalia; order Primates; family Hominidae; genus Homo; species Homo sapiens. The sequence continues at coordinate 355,742 of NW_025791814.1, forward strand.
TAAAACAAATGAGCCCTTTTTGTTTTGTATTTGTTTTAGAGACAGGATCTCTCTGTCACCCAGGCTGGTGTGCAAGATCATAGCTCACTGCAACCTCAAACTCCTGGGCTCAAGTGATCCTCCCACCTCAGCCGTCTGCCCAAGTAGCTAAGACTACAGTCATGTGTCAGCATGCCTGCCTAATTTAAAAAAAAAATTTTTTTTTTTTTAGAAACAGAGTTTCAATATGTTGCCCAGGCTGGTCTTTAACTTATGGCCTCAAGTGATCCTTCCACCTCGGCCTCCCAAAGCTCTGGGATTTCAGGCATGAACAACTACACCCAGCCAATGATCCATTTTTTTATGAAATTTATATTAAACTGGTTGCTTTATAAAAAAAGCTTTTAAAAACCTCTAGAGGCAAAGTCCGTCTATTTTAGAATCTTGATAGAAATCATAGGCTTATCTACATGGATATCTATAATCAACACCTATTAATGCATCATCAGTTACAAAACCAAAGTGAGAACTGTGAGTATAGGAAAATGTCAATACTGTTTAAACTAGATTTATGCAACCACAAGGAATATCACTTAAATTGTTCATCATAGAGCAGATTTTGCACCTGGCAGATGAGACTGTTGTCACAGCAGCACAGGTAACACCCAGCAGTAAGGCCAGGAGGCCCCTCCCGCAGCCAACCAGTGCCCCCATGAGAAGGCAGCCACTGCCCTACCTCCCCCCTGGAGCTGCTGCCCTGTTAGAATGTGATGGAACAGACAGGACACCTTGGCAGGGCTAAGTGACCAATGTCTTTTCTTGGCCGAGAATCTCATGTCATTTGCATTATTTTTCAAAGTCGGTCACCCTAAGTAGAAAACAAAGATGGCTGTGTCTGAAAAACTGAACACAACTAATGATTCCATTCCCAGGCCAGAAAAGGGACCAGTGGACAGATTTCTCTCCTCAAACTCTAAAACACAACCTGGCTTTCTAAAAGAGAATATCTGTTATCCCTTTCTCAAAAATGCCATGACAAAGATTTTCATCATTTCAAGATTATTTTATATTTGAAGTCTCAGAAGACTATGTATATATCTTATTATTGTATTACATTTCTTGATTATATTTTTCTGATTGCAAATGAATAGAAGCTTAATGCAGAAGGTTTGAAAAATGCAGAAAAGTATAAAAAAGCATAGAAAGATATCATTCATAATTGTAATACTGAGAGAAGCAACCATTTTAACAAGCACATTTTCTTCTATCTAAAAAGATATGATTTCTGAGCCTTGTCAACATAATACTACATATATGTATACATATACTTTTCAAACGTCCTGCTTTTTTTAACTTTTATTTTAGGTTTGGGGTACATGTGAAGGTTTAGTTACATAGGTAAACTTGTGTTATGGGGGTTTGTTGTATAGATTATTTCACTGCTCAGGTATTAAGCCCAGTACCCAATAGTTGTCTTTTCTGCTCCTCTCCCTCCTCTGACTCTCCCCACTCAAGTCTTCCACAATGACTGAACTAATTTACACTTCCACCAATAGTGTATAAGCATTCCTTTTTCTCCACAACCTCTCCAGCATGTGTTATTTTTATACTTTTTAATAATAAAATTATTAAAGTCATTCTGACTGGTGTGAGATGATATCTCATTGTGGTTTTGATTTGCATTTCTCTAATGATCAGTGATATCGAGATTTTTTTATATGCTTGTTGGCCACATATATGTCTTCTTTTGAGAAGTGTCTGTTCACGTCCTTTGCCCACTTTTTAATGGGGTGGTTTGTTTTTTTCTTGTAAATTTGCTTAAGTTCCTGATTATTAGACCTTTACCAGATGCATAGTTTTCAAATATTTTCTCCCATTCTGTAGGTTGTTTACTCTGTTGATCATTTCTTTTGCTATGCAGAAGCTCTGAAGTTTAATTAGCTTCCACTTGTCAAATTTTGCTTGTGTTGCAATTGCTTTTGGTATCTTTTTCATGAAATCTTTGCCATTCCTGTGTCCAGGATGGTATTGCCTAGGTTGTCTTCCAGGGTTTTTATGGTTTTGGGTTTTACGTCTTTAATCTTTCTTGAGTTGATTTTTGTACATGTTGTAAGAAAGGGGTCCAGCTTCAATCTTCTGCATATGGTCAGCCAGTTATCCTAGCACCATTTCTTGAATAGGGAGTCTTTTCCCCACTGCTTGTTTTTGTCAGCTTTATCAATGCTAAGATGATTGTAGATGTGTGACCTTATTTCTGGGCTCTCTATTGTGTTCCATTGGACGATGAGCCTGTTTTTGTACCATTACCATGGTATTTTGGTTGCTGTAACCCTGTAGTAGAGTTTGAAGTTGGGTAACGCGATGCTTCCAGCTTTGTTCTTTTTGCTTAAGATTGCTTTGGCTTTCAGGCCCTTTTTTTGGTTCCATATGAATTTCAAAAATTTTTTTCTAGTTCTGTGAAGAATGTCATTTGTAGTTTGATAGCTATAGCACTGAATCTGTGAATTGATTTTGGCAGTACCATTTTAATGATATTGATTCTTCCTATACATGAGCTTGGGATTTTTTTTTTCACTTGTTTGTGTCTTCCCTGATTTCTTTCAGTAGTGTTCTGTAATTCTTGTTGTAGAGATCTTTCACCTCCCTGGTTAGCTGGTATTTTTAGAAATGTTATTCTTTTTGTGGCTGTGAATGGGATTGCCTTTCTAATTTGGCTCTTAGTTTGGCTGTTGTTGGTATATAGGAATTAGTGATTTTTGTACATTGATTTTGTATCCTGAAACTTTGCTGAAGTTGTTTATCAGCTGAAGAATCTTTTGGGCTGAGACTATGAAGTTCTCTACATATAGAATCATGTCATCTGGTTTGACTTCCTCTCTTCCTATTTGGATGCCCTTTATTTCCTTCTCTTTCCTGATTGCTCTAGCTAGGACTTTCAATAGTATGTTGAACAGGAGCAGTGAGAGAGGGCATCCTCGTCTTGTGCCGGTTTTTAAGGTGAATGCTTCCAGCTTTTGCCCATTCCATATGATATTGGCTGTGGGTTTGTCATATATAGCTCTTATTATTTTAAGGTATGTTCCTTCAATACCTAGTTTATTGAGAGTTTTGAAATGGAATGAGTGTTGAATTTTATCAAAAGCCTTTCCTGCATCTATTGAGATAATCCTGTGGCTTTTGTCTTTAGTTATGTTTATGTGATAAATCACATTTATTGATTGTGTATGTTGAATCAACCTTGCATCCTGGAGATAAAGCCTACTTGATCATGGTGGTCAAATCCTGCTTTTTAAAAATGCAGCTATATTATACGACTGCCTCCTATATTAAGAAAACTTATTTAAACCCATAATTTAAAATTACCACATAATATTGAATTAGGCTGATGCACCACCATTCACAGAAGCAGTCACTTCATTAAGCTATTTAGAGAGAAACAATTTTTTATTATTTTAAAGTTCTGTCTTGACTCTTTCTACATAAATATTTGTCTATAACTTTTATTTCTTTGGTATAGATAATTAAGGGTGAAATTAATGAGTCAAAAGACATTAACTGTCTTTGGCTTTTGATATATTTTGTCAAATTGCTTTAAAAAATTTTCCTGCCAAATGATATATCAGAATGTAAATATTTGTGCATCTCTGCCAATATTCCATATTATCATTTATTTTGTTTCTCTATATGTTTATTAATAAAACCAATAACCAACAAGTGAAGTTAAATGAATTTTTTTGAGTAGCATTCTACTTCATAAATGTTTGTAAATTAATACAAATGCCAACAGGTAGAAATCTTACATATGTTTACTTTTGTTATATATACACCAAATAGCATTTTTGAATATGTTTGGTGCAGTTCAGACATAAATATTCTATACTTCCATAAAAGATACTAAATAGCTGTGGACAAAAAGAAAACGGGAATCAAGGCTATCTAAGGAGTTAATGGCTTAACTTTTTCTAACAAACAGCTGTAAACTGTTTTCAACGTTTTGCCAGGTTAGATTTGATCTTTGGTTTTAACTGTGTTATGGGAGCCTTAGCAATATAAAACTGCCTTTCAACATGACATCCTGTCTCTCTCACATCCACTGTGGCCTGGGGTCCTGGAAGCAGGCTTTGGGAAGATGTGAGCACCTTGTGTACACTTGAGGGAGAGTCATTGTCTGTGTGTGGCCAGCTACCTCTTTCTCCATGAACCAACCTCGAGTGGCTATTTCCAAACGTAGCCAAGTCAAGCATTAGAAGAGTTTCATTTAAAGTGAATATACATGTCTGACTTAATAAATAAAATGTAGAAGGAAAATACAGAATGGACTGTACAACAAAATATTCACTGAATTCACTATTTTGTCTCCTCTGAAAACATTCTGTATTTGTAAGAATAACCTTAGCCTGGGTTTTGAGGTTAAGACATTTGGTATTCAAGAGATAAATTAGCTTATCCCACTTTTTAATTAAAATGGTTTTCCTCCATGGTACATAAATAGACTATAAAGAAATTTGATGTTATGCAAACTCTGCTATGATAAACTCTAACACTGTATAATCTTTAATAAAAAGTCTCCACAATTTTGGTGCCACACAGTGATGAGGATGTATTAGAATAGCTATATGAGACTCCCCATGAGAGTTCACAGCTTAACTGTGACTGAAGAAACAGATGCAGGACACAATTTATTTCCTTGTATTCCAAGGTGGATAGAGGTATTGTGCATGTGTGAAAAGCGGTAGGAAATGCAGCAGGCTCACCCTAGCACCCAACCAAAAGGTGGTCATTTATCCTTCTGCGCTCATCACTGTGCTCACTGGGCCACGAGGCTGCACAAGCTTACTTTTACAACGTGTTGTCTGAGGTCACTCCATCAATGGAGGTTTTAATTTCATTAATCTCTGAACCATCCTAGGAGGTAGCTTTGTATTATCTCCATTTCACAGATGCAGAAACTGAGGCTCAGAGGTGCTCAGAAACCTGCTACAATTCACATGGCTAGTGAGAAGCAAAGTAAGGATTTAAATTCATTTTTGCCTGACTATAGTACCTCTGTTTATTATTATGCAAGAGTTGTGGAGTGTCAAACAGGATGAAAAAGAGTTGAGAGCCTCAAAGAGTTGAGTAGAGTGAAACCATGAATAATAGACGGATCTCTCCCAGAACTACACTACCTGTCCCACCCATGCCACCACCACACTACCCAGCCTGCAGAGGGCATTACAATCAGACACCTGATTGGATTACTCAGATCCAAGATCTAGATAACCTGAAAAATTATTTCATATGTATATTTATATGTATAATAATGTGTACGTGTATAATACATATATGTATAATATATAAATATATAATATACATACGTAATAGGATTATTATATAAATAACATAAAATATATATGATATGCATAATATAAAATAATACATATTATATATAATATACATATAAATAGTAATCATAAGATTGTTTTGTATCAACTGATCTCAGGTACAGTCCAACAACACCTGGGATCCCTGATACTTTTTCAAAGGATCTGTGAGATCAGAGCTATTTTCAGAATAACACTAAAAAATTATTTGCCTTTTTAGCCAACAGTACAAAAGCAACAGTGGGCAAATCTGCTGGGGCCTTAATAGGATTCAAGGCAGTGGCACCAAACTCTTCTCACGGCCGTTGTGGTCTTCACAATTGTCCGTCAACACTCGCAACAAAAACAAACGTGGCAGCTTCACTTCAGCATGTCCTTGACTAAGCAGTGGAAATCATTTCATTTCATTCCATCTCAACCATTGAGGGTGTGCGTTTTTAACATTCTGTGTGACAGAATGGCAGAAACATACAAAGCACCTGTGTGTTGGGTGCTCAAGAAAAGCTCCAGTGTGGGACTGAATATGAGCTGATCAGCTGTGATTTTCATGGAACACATTTCTACTTGAAAGAAAAACTGATAAACTATTTTTGTCTGGGTATTTGACAAACATTTTCTCAAAAGGAATGAAGTGAGCCTGTCACTTCAAGGGAAACAACTGAGAGTGTTTGTTGCCAGTGGTAAAATTTGAGCTTTTAAGTCTTAATTCGATTTTAGAAAACTTGGATTCTTCACCACATGCTTAACACACCTTCCCAATATTTAAAGATATTTTGGATGACATTAGTAGTGATATTATAAATGTGATTTTCAAAAGTATTGTATAATGGAGTGCATCAACATTTGGAACGTCTACATTACTAAGTGAATAAATACTTTCCAAAAACCAATGCATGGTGTTATAAAATCATGCATGTGTAAAAGATCCAGAAACACTGATATATTTTAATGCAATAGGGTAGGAAAAGGCTGTTGATATGGTTTTTGGTTCTGCATGGGAATTAATCTTTAAAAACCACCGCTTGCCAAATTTTGGTAGAGTATCAAAGAGCAATAGCCATGATGATCTGAAAATGCTATTAAGCTTCCCTGTCCAACTACACCTCTGTGCGAATTGTATTTTCTTCATATGCTTCAACGAACATAACACATCACAGTAGATTGAATGCAGAAGCAGCTACAAGCCAGACTTCAGAGATTTTCAAAAAATGTAAAATAATTCATCCTCTTCTCACCAATTTCTAAAAATAGTTTATTAAGAAGTATATTTATGATAATATGTCATAGTTGTCATTTAAAAAAATATCTCAGTGTAATCTCTAGTACAGCAAATATTGATAGATCCAACCCACAGAAACAAAAGCCCTTTGGAATCTTCAAGAATTTTTAAGATTATAAAGTGGTCCTAGGATCAAAAATCTTGAGAAGTGTCCTTCTATATAATTGAGACAATTTTAAAGTTTGAAATCTATACTGATCTGTATTAAAGATCTAAAGTCTAATGGAAGTTTCTTAGAATGAGGGCCAAATCTGCAAATATAATAAACTTTAATCCCTGGAAATGTTCTTTGCTCAATATTCTTTTACCCATGACCACGCTCCCCTCCAGCATCCCTACCAACCTTTGTTCCCTTCTCAGGTGTGTCCGGTGTGGCCTCTCTTTCCCCTCCTGACACCAGGAGACCTGCCCAGCAGCCTGCCCTCAGTCCCTGCTCCCGATGTGGGAGCCAAGAGGAAGGTGCAGGATTGGAGTTGCCTCCTGAGACTCACCCTCAGAGCAGCTTTGAGGAGGTCCCCAGGCTGCAGGGCCCTGAACCCCAGGTAACACCTGAACATGGTCCTTAGTCCTGCAACCCAGAGACCAGCCCATCACTTGAGCCTGAGAGCCCCCATTCAAGTCATTTCTGAGCCACGTTGAACTTGCCATCATCACCGCTTTCATTCCAGCTGCTACTATCCTAAGGGAAATGCCATTTTCAGCTCTTAAACACATTCTTTTCTTGCAGCATGACATATGGGCTTCCTAAACACAGGTAAAAAAAGCTCCAATAGGAAGACAGCTTTTCTCAGAACCAGAAGAGTATTTTTAAACATCTTTAACGAAAATCTAAGTTACCTTTTTTTTCTACAGTCATATCATATATACACATTATAATTAGAAACACACATGCTCAGACACATCCATGTATCTATCTAAATAGATTTTTTTGTCTTTTAAGTCATCAATAGCGGTTGTTAACATGATCTAATAAAATGCCTAGGCTATATTTCAATGTGAAATTGTTAAAAGTTACAACATTAATAAAAAGTTGCTCTCATTCACTTATGAAGGTTAGAATGGTTTCTGAGTATGAGAATGACAACACTTATGTGAACACATTTAATGGCCTCTCTAAAACAGAGAGGGTGCTCAAAAATGCCCTCTCATATTTCCCACCTGCCCAGATAGGCCCATGTGATGGTTGCCTCCATCAGGAAGGATGGAGAGCTTCTGGAAACCCCTACCCCACCCCACATGCTGTGGGTCCCTGGGGAATGCACTTGCATTTCCTAGATTTCAGAGAAGTGAAGAATGAATGAAATCAGGATGAAGCAAAATGAATTTCTCAAAATAACCCACAGTGTCATAACAATGTATGTACTAGGGAATTGAGAAAACCTTCGGCTAGGTATAAAAATGGGGATTTTTTAACTGAAAAAGAATTTTTGAACTCTTTAAATATCCTATGATTCAGTCTATTTTTCTCCCCCAAGAAATCAAAGCAGTATAATCTTTCATTAACTGGTTGATTATCACTCATGCATCATTGAACACCAACACTATTTCAAACAAGATCTGGTTAAATTGCAAATGAGAATAAATCTGGTGATAAATGGATATCATATTTAATATTTAAATGTCTCTGGTATTTACACATCTCTGGTAGTTTTGTTCTTAGTCAATTGTTTAAGTGAATGTTGAGAAGAAATGAAAGAAAGATGTTTGCTCCTCTTTGAAAACAATTACGGTTTCCTTGCAGGAATATGCTTATCTTTCACATTTCATCAGAAACATAAGAAGTCTGGCTAGAGGCAATGACACTGATGGGAAGAGCTCTATGATGGGGAAAGACTGCTTGGGAAATGCAGCCTTCTACTATATACACTAAAATTATCAATAACGTTGCAAAAAGAGAATTCAATTCCATAAACTAATATTGATGCACAAATGAGCAAAAATCAACAATTGGCAATAAATGACATCTTAAATCTGCATTTGAAGATTTTACAATAGTCAAAAATAAACATAAAAATTTGCTTTCATATTTTCTAAAATGAGTATCAGAGACACTGCATCCTCTCAAATGACAGCTATTGGGACAACCATCTCTAAGGCTACATCTTACGTTTCATATTTATATGCCAGTGAATATTCAAGTTAAAAAGGACACTTCAAAAAAGATAACAAGTCCATGTTTTGTCCTAAATTGAATTGTCGGTCACCTGAACATTCAATCCCACATGTAGTTGGCTCTATGGACTCTTGATAAAAATGTAAGTTGGTTTGAATTAGAAACTACCTTTTCAAGGAGGTACTGTGCATGCTACAAGGTGAAGCACATGACACTCACACGAGGTACACACACCATACACTCAGGTTGTGTACTGGTAAACACTGAAACATCCCTGTTCACAGGAGATTGGCCAGGCCAACTGCATGAAAGACACTGCCCATTCTCAGACTCAGATCCTCCTGCCAACAAGGTAAGCCTGTGAATGATAGATGAGTGTACACATATGCGTACTTGTATTTCCCTTCTCTTTACTGCCTGCCTTCATTTCTGTTTACAAGACCTGCCCCAACCACTTGACCTTGACCATCATTTCACGGCTGCACCTTGCCCTTTGGACCAAGCCCATGACATCTGCCTTGTGTTTAGAAGCTCATTGCCATCCCAGCCTCTTCCCCCAGCGATCTCAGGCACAGCCTCTCAAAACCCCTTACCCACATTCATTCCCACTCAAATACTCTACAATTTGTAATTTTCCCACCTTCAACCTTTAAGCCTTCTCTATCTTCAAAACGGCTAAAATCCTGCCAGATATGAAAGAAGCCATGACATCTTCTCCTCCACCCTTCTTTGTGTGTGGACTCAACAGTGCCCTCCTGGATCCCTCATCCAGGAGGTTGAGGGATTAAGAGGCCCCGCCATCCATCCTGAGATAGTGCAGACCTTGTTGATAAACGTCTCTATATTCCCGGAGGCCAGTTGCTTCCCTATCCCTACCTATTACCGCTGGGGTCCACACGATCTTTGTTGGGACCATGGAGAGAACACAAAGGTAACAATACTTTTCCCCAGGCCTCAGAGCCTCGATTTGTGTGAACTAAGGGGAGAAGAAAGTAGAGGGCAGAGAAAGTCCCCCTGTCCTCCAACACCTTCTTGGAATCAGACACAAGTGTGTTGGTGATGCTCCACCATTGACCAAGATCCCAGAACCATCACTACATTGATATATTTTCACACTGAAAGGCAATGATTCCAACATGAAAATATCTATTCCCTTATGGGTTTGATAAAGACTTTCTACATATAAATAGCACTTATTTACGAACTGCTTTACATGCATTAACTCTTGCACGTCCACTTATCTATCCAATGAGATGTGTTCTCTTATGATCCCTGTTGTACAATTGGAGAAACTAAGGCTGGAAGAGATGGAGTTAGTACATCGCAGAGCTGGGATACAAAGCCAGACAGTCTGGCCCTCAGAACCTGTGCTCTTGACTTTCTCCCCAAATGGTAGTGAACTCTGCAATAAGGAACATAGATAAGATGCACAGAAAGTTTGGTGACAATGTGCGGACACAAATGTGGAACACATAGTTTTATTTATTACTTGGTAGACAATTCTTTGTAATTCAGTGGGTTCTCGGATTTTCTTGGATTGAAACAGAAATTTCTCCCTTGAACACTGAGTTGATAATAGCTCAGTTCACTTCCTTGCATTTCTTTAGGGGTGCTATTTTAATGTCGGGAGAGATATCAAGCAGCAGAAGAGATTCTATATTAAAATGATATTTTCTATTTGGCTACGAAATGAAAGAAATATAGATACGGACAAGAGCTAAGTGAGGAGGCCTGGTGGCAACAAAATGTCCCAAACCCATGCAGCCCTCCACAAAGACCTCATTGTGTCAGGCTGTAACAAATGAACCCAAAGTCATTCTCTAATGTTTAGAGACCTCTTTCAAGAACAGCAATATAGATCTTTAACCAATCCAAAAGTTAATTTGCCATTTATGTTGTTTATACTTCAGCAATTATTTAACATTTTTTAAAATTTTTATTTTAAGTTCAGGGGTACAAGTGCACATTTATTATGCAGGTAAACTTGTGTCACGGGGGTTTGTTGTACAAATTATTTCATTATCCAGGTATTAAGCCTAGTACCCGTTAGTTACTTTTCCTGATTCTCTCCCTCCTCCCACCATCCACCCTCCAAAAGGCTCCAGTGTGTCTTGTTACTCTCTCTGTGTCCATGCGTTCTCCTCATATAGTTCCCACTTGTAAGTGAGAACATGTAGTATTTGTTTTCTGTCCCTCCGTTAGTTTGCTAAGGATAATGGTCTCCAGCTCCATCCATGTCCCTGCAAAGGACATGATCTCATTCTGCTTTATAGCTGCATAGTATTTCATGATATATGTACCACATTTTCTTTAGTAGTTTCTTAGGCTCTAGGAGGAAAAAAAAATCATTTAAGGATCAAAGACTGATGCTGGGATAAAATGTGTCATGGTTGACTCTGGCCCATTCTGAAGCCACATTCCTGAGAATTCAGCACTAAAGCATTTGGAAGGCTTCGAGCTTTTCCAGAAGACAGGTGCATCCTGTGAGAATCACAGCACAATGACTCAGCCTCCCAGCTGCCACCTTCCTGAAGATAGAACAGGGCAGGCATCTTATGGCATGTTAACCAACTCTTTGGAAAAGGGTCATTTTTGTGGCCTGTCACAAGACTGAGGCTGATAGGAAATGCTACTTTACCAATAGTAGACAACATTTGGGGTAAATTGTTTTCTAAAGGCCTAGCAGCTGTCTCAAGTTCTTCCCATGATATTTCTCAGAATTTGAAATGTGATGACTCTGTCTTAAGATCATACAGGTATTTTGAGGTCTGTAGCTACAGAGTACCACCCCTTTCCCCCACTGCTACCCTTACTGGTACACCTGGGAGGATACCTGCTCTTCTATTTGGTTTTTCAAAGTAATAAGCAACATTTTAGAATACATTTAGATTTATAGAAAAGTTGAGATAATAACACAGGAAGTCCCCATATACTTCACATCTCCACATCCAGTTCCTCCATTATTTACACCTTACATTAGTGTGGCACGTTTGTTACAATTATTGAATGACTATTAATGCATTGTTAACTAAGTGCATACATTGTTCAGATGACCCTACCTGCTACCTAATGTCCCTGGTTTGTTTCAAGATCCCATCCAGGATCCCATTCTACATTCTGCCATCATGTCTTCTTAAGCTCCTCTGTAGCAGTTTCTCAGACTTTCTGTGTTCTTGATGACTGTCAGTCTTGAGGAATGCTGGTCAGGAATTATGTAGAATACCTCTCAGTTGGGGCTTGTCTGTTGTTTTTCTCATTTTTAGGCTGAGGTTATGAGAGTTTTGAAGGGGCAAACTACGGAGGTAAAGTACCATTCTCATCACATCATATCAAGGGTAAATGCTATCAACAGGGCTTATCAGTGTCGCTGTTGACCTTGGCCACCTGGCTAAGGTGGTGCCTGCCAGGTTTCTCCACTGGAAAGCTTCTCTTTCCATGTCGTCCTTTCTGGAAGGAAGTCGCTCTGCAAAGCCCACACATAAGGAGTGAGAGTTATGCTTCATCTTCTTGAGGTGGTATATCTACATAAATTACTTGGAATTCTTTCGTCAGGAAAATTTGGCTATTGTTACCATTTATTCAATCATTTATATCAGTGTGGGCTTATTTTACACTTATCACTTATTTTACACTGATACACTTATCAGGGTGTATTTATTTTAAACTTTGGGTTATAATCCAATACCGCCTTATTTGTTCTGTTGCTCAAATGATTCCAGATTTAACCACTGGGAACTCCTTCAGGTGGCTCCCACATCCTATTGATGTATCACCATCATTGCTTGTTTATTTTATCCTTTCTTTCCCCCTCCACCTCTTTTCTTTTTTTTTTTTTTCTTGGTACTTCTTTATTTTCTAACTCTACAAGAAGTTCCAAGTGCTTGGAAGTTCCAAGTTCTTTTATATTCCCTTACCAGTCTTAGAATTAGCGTTCTCAAAGGAGTCCTGGTTCATTTTATTGGAAAATCCTATTAGAAACCAAGATTTGGGGACAGTTGTGTTTATTGCTACTGTGGCATTGTTCCTTGCTTCCAGGTTCTCTTAGCTGACAGAAAAAAAAATGTGTGTATACTAACACATGTATATACACACATCTATGAATATTCCTGTATGTATCCATTGTATCTCTATTCAGCTAAACATGAGTTCGTACTGATGTCTCTAAGTCTAATCAGGTACCACACAGCTCATTCTAGCCTCTTCCCTAGCTTGTTTGTAAACTCCCACTTCATGGTGAGAAACCCAACTCCCATGATCTGCCACCCAGGGCCCTAATTGTTTAATTACAGTTTAGATGTATAGTAGTTTCAGAAGTAAGTCCCTGTTAGAAACAACTTTGTCAACCAGAGTGCAATGTTTAGGTATAGTTCTTTTTGCCTTTAGTCATACAGCTTCCATTCATCTCCAAAGTTACTTAGGTCAGCATCCAATTAGTAAAGTTATTTAACTCATTTGTAATACAATTAGATTGATTTGCACAGTCTCCATTTCATCCTGGGGTCCCATGACCTCTTAAATGCTTTTTTTGAAAATTTTAATTACATTTTAATTCACCTACATTAAGATTCATTCTTTTTGCTGGAAGGCTCTGTGGTTTTGACAAATACATGGTGTTACATATTCATGGTTGCATTATCATACATAATATCCTCAACTCCCTAAAAATGTCCTGCATGCTTCACCTGTTCAGTCCTCTCCTTTCCCCAAATCCCTAACAACCACTGATCTGCTTCTGAACTCTATTGTTTTGCCTTTTTCAGAATGTCATAAAAATGGAGTCATAGAGTATCCAGCCTTCTTAGACTGGCTTCTTTCCCTTAATATGCACTTAATTTTAGTGGTTTGACTCATCATTCTACTTTATAGCTGAATAATATTCTACTGTCGAGAGATGTACCAAACAAAAGTTTGTATTTATTCATCAGTTGAAGCACAGCTTGATTGGTTCCAAATTTTTGGCAATTACGAACAAAGCTGTTATAAACATTGATATGCAGATTTTTATGTGGACATACATTTTTACATCAGTTGGGCAAACACCCAGGTGTACAATTGCTGGATCCTAAGACAACACTGTATTTAGTTTTGTAAGAAACTGTCGAGCTGGCTCTATACTTCTGCATGCCCACCAGCAATGAATGAGAGTTGCTATTACTTAATATCCTTGTCAGCAATTGATACTATCAGATCTTTGGATTTTAACTATTCTAATAGATGCACAGTACTATTTCAAGGTCATTTTAACTTGCATATTCCTAATGATAAATAATAGCGAGCATCTTTTTCTATACTTGTCATCATATGTTCATAAGAAATAATGGTACAAAGTTTTCTTTTCTTGCAATGTTTTTATTTCTCATATTAGAATAATGCTAGACTAATGGAATGGGTGAAGAAGTGTTCTATCTGCTTTTGTTTTCTGTAAGACTGTGGAGCATTGGTATTAGTTCTTCTTTAAATGTTTGTTAGAATTACCAGTGAAGCAATCTGAACATTGTGCTCTGTTTTTGTTTTTGAAAGGTTTAAAATTATTTATTCAATTATTTTAATAGAAATCGGACTATTCAGTTTATCAGTTTCTCTTTGCTTAACTTCTGGAATTGGCCAATTTTATCTGAATAATCAAATCTGTGAGCACTGACCTTTTAAAGTCGATGGGACCAGTCATAGTGGCCCCTCTTTTATTTCTTTCTCTAGTTTTCTCAGGTGTAGACTTAGGTTTTTGATCTGAGATCTTTCTTCTTTTTGAATATATGGATTTATTGCTATACATTTTACTCTAAACACTGCTTTTGCTGCAAACCACACATTTTAATAAGTATTTTTATTTTTACTTAGTTAAAAATATTGTTCAATTTTTCTTGAGACTTCTGCTCTGACTCATGGGATAACTGAAGAGTGTGTTGTGTTAATTCCCAGATATTAGAGGATTTTACAGCTATCTTTCTGCTATTGGCTGGCAGTTTGATTTTTTTGTGGTCATAAGTTGTGAGGGTTGGGGAGTGTTCCATACTTATGATTAAATCTCAGTGTTTTTTGGGCCTGTGTTTCAGGGCCGTGTCCTTCCAAGTGTCTGCCTCTCTTCCAGGTACACAGATGTCCCCACAACCCCCACCCGGCATCCCTGCTCTGTTCTCTGGCTGCAGCATGCCCAATCCATTTCTCTGAAGCCTTGACTCTCGATTATGCTTTTTTTTTTTTTTCACAACTTAGATCATATAGGTAGGCTGGAGAGGGCTGGAGTGGGAAGGAATTTATTTCTTGCAGGTGAGACAAAATTTCAGAATGTGGTTCTGGAAGAGGTTTTTTTTTTTTTTTTTTAAATTTTCCGTGGAGAGTAGACCTTTGTTATGGAGAAGGTTTGATCTTCACTGTGAGAATCTGGTAAGGTTCCTAGAGAGAAAGTCTGTGAAAGTGTGAGGACGACCCCAAGACGGTGGCCTTTAGGAGCTCCTCACTCTCACTCCAGTCCACACTCAGCCACCAACACTGTACCAAAATTGCCATTTGCTTGTTCTTGCTACTTCACTGGCCCAGCAGCTTCTGTTCCAGGTAAGCCAATCTCTGTTGTTGTATCTCGCTGTGACACCTATCTCCCTAGATTTCCGGGTGAGAGTTTATCTCTGTCAATTCAGTTCTCTGTAAGAAAACTTGTTGATTTTCAGTTTTTCCAGGCTTTTCTTTTATTTCTTTTTTTTTTAGACAGTGTCTTGCTTTGTTGCTCAGGCTGGAATACAGTGGCATGATCACGGCTCACTGTAGCCTCTACCTCCTGCACTCAAGTGATCCTCCCACGTCAGCCTCCCAAGTAGCTGGGGTTACAGGAGCACACGACCATGCCCAGCTGACTGTTCTATTTTTTGTAGAGACAAGGTCTTGTCATGTTTCCCAGGCTGGTCTGGAACTCCTGGGCTCAAGTGATCCTCCTGTCTTGGCCTCCCAAAGTGCTGGGATTACAGGAGTGAGCCACCCAGCCTGGCCTCCAGCTTTTTCTTGTTGTAAAGATGAGAATGATGGCCTACAAGCTCTTCATGTGTCAGAGCTGAAATTAAAAGTTAATGCCTCCTCTTTTGTGATCAAATATTTTATTTACCAATCTGATATATATTTGAGCAGCACAATGAGAAACTGGTCTGGACACCACCCTTGGCATTTTAGGTGATTAATATTTATCTTACATTCTAGGAATCATCTAAATGTTCCCATATATCTACTTGAAAAATATCATTGTTTACCCCACAATGAATATAGTAATTTTTTTTGGATTTTATAAACAGTGCATGTTTACAGAATGGAATTCCACTACTTCTGCATTGGCAGACCTAGAACTGTAACTACAGGCAGATGACGTCACTCATTATGCACTAAGATTGAATTCTATTTCTAGTTGCAGCCCTGAAGACAGGAGAAACAAGAGAAAAATTCAAATATGAAGAAGCCAAAAATGGACTTGTTGAGTTAAATCAAGAGGCTTAGCCACCTGTTATGGGATGGCTGGCTTTTGTGAGTTGCCATAAGAGACAGATAATAAATGTATGAATCTACGGAGCATGGGGTATGATAGACCCATAGGAAAAGCTTTGATACAGCCCTTTGATACACCTTAGAACAGACAGGGATTGAATTTTACAAACAAGATGCTAGTCAGTGTCTCTACAAGGGACTTCTCTGGTTATTAAGAAACCTCAGTCCACTAGGAAAATATCCCTAAAGGTGCCCGGAAAGCTACTGCCCAAGCTGTTTGACATTTCATGTTTTCTCAGTAGATAAGTGTCTTCTACCTCCAGAAAGAGTTAGAATTCCATACAGAGATGTTTTAGAGAAGAAGCCCCAAGCATTACTATTTTTATGGTAAGAAATCTGTGCAGTTTAGCTGTAATTTTTATGAGATATAGCATATTAGTATTTATCATATTTGTAATTCTAATTTAAATATATAATTAAGTAATCAATTTAGACAGGTGATACTAAGCAGGACTTTTACTGAGATTAAACCTAGTAGGGTGATATTTAAGGAGTCATAATAATACTAAGTTATTCATGTTGTTTATTTATTTATAAGTTATTAAGATGCCCAGAACAGTTCTGTTAGATAATTGGAGTATTTAAAAAGGAAATTAAATATGTATAATTTATAAATGTAGTTTAATATATAAAGAAGAAAATGAACTATGTTTATAAATGGGTCTAAACATTAATCAAAAATCTCTTCACGTGAGATAACGGAGAGGATCAGAAAAAACACCTATTGGGTATTATGCTTATTATCTGGGTGATGAAGTAATCTGTACACCAAACCCCCGTGACGACAGTTTACCTGTATAACAAACCTGCACATGTACTCCCGAACCTAAAAGTTTTTTTTAAAATCCCTTAAGAGTACTTGTTTAAATTTACGAGATACATACATAGAATAACAAAATTTATAAGTTGAACTGAAAAAGAGGGTTTTTACATTTATAACTTTAATAAATGACCATATTAAAGTCCAAGTAATATTTTAAATATATTTTTTTCTTCACTCAAAAGCATCTGCAGGCTCCAAAAAACTCACCTAAACAAATATACTTAAATCTGATGAAGAAAATAAAGGTCACTAAAAATTCAACCAACCAGTCTGAGGCAATTTTGGTCAAATTTCTACTGACCATGCTTCAATATGTTCTTATGTATGATACACACACACACAACACGTAATATTGCACAAGTGGAAACACATTACGTATGCTGTTGATATAATTAGAGACTTTTTGCCCCTATGTCCACCTTTCTGTCCTTCTCCTCCACATGGACACACTCCCTCATGCTCATCCCTGCCCTCTAGTCTTTATTAATAACCTGGTGTATGCCCTTTCATATTTTTCTCTGCAATCATACACACGCATGTACACACATACGCAATTTTTTGGTTATAGTTCATTTGACAGAACGGTATCTACTACACACAACTCGGCATTTACTTTCCCAAGCAGCAATAACTCATAGCAATTCCACATGACCTGGTATCACTCCAATTCACTTCTTTTTCATGGCTCAGTAATAGTTCTTGCATGTTAAGATGGCTCCAGGCTGTATCAACATCTGACAGCCTCAGGTAAGGTCTGCACACTCCTTCCTGCCTCGCTTTGGCTGTTGAATGACTCAGTTCATTCAGCCAGTCTGTGCAAATCTCAGTTCCCAGGCTAATGATGCCTGCAGTCCTTCTTAACCAGAAGGCCCATGCTGGGAATGTACAACAGCTCTTGTCACAGAGTGAACCTGAAGAGCTGGCTAGCACGGAACATGGCTGCATTCTCAGAATATTATATCGGTCTTAAAACAGTGATTTGGTTTTCACTTTACTCTTGAGGCATGGAATTACTTTTTGGACAACATGGTGCCTGGGTCAAGGTAAATTTGAGTAATTCTACTAAGACCATCCAAGTTGTGAAGATCTACATAGCGCAGAAGTCAACTCGTCTCTGGTACAGAACAGTTCTGCAACTTTGGACAAGTAGTTTAACATCTCTGAGCCACACAGTTGCTTTGCCTGTAAAATGGAAATCATGGTCATGTCCACTTCAGAGGCTGATGCAAGGATAAATGAGATTACATAAGCAAAGCAGTTCCCACTGGGCCTGGCACTTGTAAGAAAAGATCATTGTAAGCTATTACGTGCTTTTCCATACTTGGTAATGTTGAGTCAAGATGTGGCTGGTTCTTGAACTTTTGGGAAATAAGGAATATGAAAATTCTGTGACCATTCTAACTCCTGTCTATTGTAGCCTCAGCATTCTGTTTCCTGCTTCTCCTCTCTGTCTTTGCCTATTCTATGATGTTCTTGATCCAGTTCTCTCTTCTCTCACTTTTCTGCAGTCACATGGTCTCTGTCATTCCTTCCTGGTACATTTAAATGCATCCAGTTGCCAATTCTTTGGGTGGATATGTTTCTTTTTTTCTTTTTTTGCTGATAGAACTTCATGTACCCTGAATGATTCCCCTGGGTTGTTTTTCCTAAAAATATAATGTGAGTAAAATATGTATCCCCGAAGCCCAGGGTAGAGGCAGGTCACAGGAGGCTTCTTGGTCTCCGTCTAGCTCCAGATCTTCGTAAGCATATCAGGGCATTATGACTTAGTTGCCCTATGTCTGCAATGATAGCAGACCTTGTTAATAAAAATCACTATCACTATCAGCTCTTCCTCGTTTGTATGAAACTAGCCTCTTCAGAAATGCAATAGTATTAGGAGTAATTTATTTGCCTGTGTAATTAAAGAATCTACTACACTACATGCAAGAAACAAAAATTAGCAGAGCAAATGTTTATATTATTCTATGAAAATAGTGATACATTACAATGGAGTTATCCACCTTCAGCCCTACTGAGGCATTGGGATATGGTCAGGGGGCCAGATGGTGACCATAAAATACAAAGATGAGACTCAAAACAGACAGTGGTTTCATATCAGTTAACCGTATGGTCCAGAGTAACCATCTGTACTAGCCTCTACAAGAAACACATTTTGCCTTATGAAGTAGGAAAACACAAGAGAGGAAGCTGTCAGGTTTTCAAAATATGGAGGCATTTATTTTCTTTCGCTGTATGTTTAATTTGAAGAATGTTACATAAAGGCCGATAATTAAGACTAAGAGAGCTGCTACTTCGGTCTGTGTAGGGCTCTTTCTGAGCTCTTTAATCACCCTGTCCCCCTTCAGCAAGAGAGCTCAGCTGAAATAATGGAAAACAGAATTTAGTTCTCAAGGACCATTCGGAAGAAAGAAAATGGCACCACACCCATGAGGGCCAAACACTGCCTTCCATTCAAAATGTATCTTCTCCACCCCTTAGGATCACCTGATTCGACACTTCTTCAACTGTATTCATCTGCAAGCAAATTTGGCCTCACTCCCAAGGACATTGCAGCTAGGAAGTTAATGATGATGCATCACCAGGCTTGCATTCCTTTTCAGAAAAAAAAAAAAATCAGGTCCCTTTACACTGCACCAACAGCCATCATCATTACTGAGAGAGCTCCGTCACATTAGATGCAATAAACGTATGTTTGTATCATCAACGGGACTAAGAAAAAAAGCTCACTGTTGCATGGATAATTTTTCTATTATTCAAAAGTAAGGTTGTTTTGCTAAAACAAAAGTTGCCAAAGCCCCAGGTGATGAAGTACAATGTGGCTGTATTATCAAGTACCATATCGAGGGTGGAAACACTGTGGGTTGGAAATAAATTTCCTCTGTACACTTGCTTCCATCTGCACACTTAAATATATAAACTTGTTTCTGCCGATGCAGCTGCATGTATTAAAGAAGAATTCTAAACCTTGAACTTAGCTGCCCATGTTTCTTGCCTGCATTCTAGAAACTGCTTTCTGTGTATAGGTAGCAGGTTGCCTTGCTTTGTATGATATGCCAAGCACTGAGCCCAGGGTGTGGCCCAAAGAGGAAACTTAATCAACATTTGATTAATGAATAAGTCAAAATATGCTTCTCAAAGTGCCCACTCTGAAGAGCATCGGAGCTCTGGCTCACGCTCACCGTGTTGTAAGGTCACCATAGCCCAGGGCTTCTGGCTCTTCTCTATCTGGTGGGTCTCCGTGGATGTGGGCTAGTTTATCCTTCCAAAATCTGTACAGAACTTCCAGTTCTGTAGGGTGTTACTTCCAGGGTACAAATACATGGGGTAAGGAGCTAGATCTCAGGTGCTGTAGTCAAAGGAAAGAAACACCCAGCCCTCAGACACAGAGC
Source organism: Homo sapiens (assembly GCF_000001405.40). Lineage (NCBI taxonomy): Eukaryota > Metazoa > Chordata > Mammalia > Primates > Hominidae > Homo > Homo sapiens. The sequence continues at coordinate 376,215 of NW_025791814.1, forward strand.
ACATGACGGGTTTTGAGTGACACCAGGGGTCAGGCTGCCCAGACTCACAACCTGGCTCTGCTTCATAGAAGCCTGGGGTCAACTGAGCCCTAGGCATTAGTTCCCTCATCTTTAAAATGAGGTTAATAATAGTACTGAAATCATTGTGGAGGAATAATTATTAAATGAGTTAATATGGATAAACAGCTTGGGACCATGACTGATCTACAGTAAGCAGTCAGTGTCTACCTAATTACACTCAGATAACCGAAACAAAGATGTTTCATCTTACTAGTGTCTGAGAGGAGGCTGCCAATGTCACCAGGCAAGGCACATGAGGAGAACAGTGCGAGAAGCCATGGACAGCTTTATTACTTCTGACAATGACTGAACAACTGTCTTCCAACTCTCCCGTCAACTCCTGAAAGGTAGGTGTCTAGTGCCCATCACACATCCCAGCGCTAGCTCTTCAACAATTCTGTGGAGACTGTTCAGTCCAGGTTTGCTGAACAAACACTGCAACAAAGCTAGGAGGTTGTAGACATTTCCTGTGGCTGCTGGAATAAGTTCTCACTCTTGAAATAATGCACATTTATTCTCTTACAGTTTTGGAGATGAGAAGTCTGAACTCAAGGGTGTCAGCAGGGCTGTATTCCTTCTGGAGGCACTAAAGAAGTTTATTATTATTATTATACTTTAAGTTCTGGGGTACATGTGGAGAACATGCAGGTTTGTTACATAGGTATATACATGCCATGGTGGTTTGCTGCACCCATCAACCTGTCATCTACATTAGGTATATCTCCTAATGCTATCCCTCCCCTAGGCCCCCACCCTCTGACAGGCCCTGGTGTGTGATGTTCCCCTCCCTGTGTCCATGTGTTCTCATTGTTCAGCTCCCACTGATGAGTGAGAACACGTGGTGTTTGGTTTTCTGTTCTTGTGTTAGTTTGCTGAGAATGATGGTTTCCAGCTTCATCCATGTCCCTGCAAAGGATATAAACTCATCCTTTTTTATGGCTGCATAGTATTCCATGGTGTATATGTGCCACATTTTCTTTATCAAGTCTATTACTGATGGGCATTTGGGTTGGTTCCAAGTCTTTGCTATTGTGAACAGTGCTGCAATAAACATACATGTGCATGTGTCTTTATAGTAGAATAACTTATAATCCTTTGGGTATGTACCTAGTAATGGGATTGCTGGGTCAAATGGTATTTCTGGTTCTAGATCCTTGAGGAATAGCCACACTGTCTTCCAAGTCTCTTAAGGGCTGCCTAAATTCCTTGGTTCATGGCCTCTTGCCTCTCTGTTATGAAGATCCTGGTGATGACACTGGGCCTGCCTGGCTAATCCAGGGTCATCTCTCCATCTCAAGATCTTTCCCTTAATCACATCTGCAAAGGCATTTTGTCATGTAAAGTAATACATTCACAGATTCCGTGGGTTGGGCTACAGACATCCTGGGGAGGGGGTGTATAGTTTTCTGTCTACCAAAGAGCTTGTGGAAGATTGGGAGAAAAATTGAATCAGATATGGGGATATGTGGGAGGAAATGAAGGAAAGATGGCCCTCCCTGGGGTAGAATCTGAGGATTTTTTAAACCATAATACTCCAAAGAATCAACTGGGTGCCTCCAGGAATAGAAATATAAGACTCCAGCCCCCAAGTCTGATTCTGTGGTCTGGAAAGTGGAATGGGAATCTGCATTCTTAGTTAGCTCTCTCATCTCCAGTGAAAACGACCCTTGGACATATTTGGACAAGCATACTCAGGATGTGGCACTCCAGGTGGAGGAACTGAAAATGGGCCAGACTTTGGCTCATGAGAATCTCCTCTTTACACAATAATCCACAGCCAAAGGCTCTGTGTTTTAAAACCAGGGAGGTGGTAGAGCTGGATAGCTTTTGGGGACATCTGGGCCTAACAGCGAGTAGGAGAGGGGATAGAGGTGTTCACCGCTAAACTCCACCTAGCAGGTATGTTGGCCTAGGTGTCCTCTCAGAAGGAGGAAGACAGAGACAACCAAGCGCTCTGAGTGGAAAGCATTGCGTCTTCTCTCACATGTGCCATAGCAGCTGGGGGAAAAGAAAATGACTAATTTGTGTGTTGCCTAAATAAGCAACACCATCCAGAAGCATCTCTTTCCTTTTCCATGCCTAAACCATGTCTAAGTACCGGCTTGACATGGCCTTAAATGACATGCAACTATTCTTTTTGGTGACAGCTCCCAGAGGTGACAGTGCAGTACTCGGGAGGAATTAAAAGACTTTCCGTAATTTTCTAGAATCCTACCACTTTCAGGTGAGAATGACTGTGCCCTTCTCATCTGAATCTGACAGTGATATAAGTCCCCATATAAGGTGATGATCCTGCTTCTCTTTGCTTGAGAGGCAGCGTCAATGCCACTCTGAAAAAAAGTAGATTCTAATTTGAGCATCATGTGTATCATTCACCGTCTAACTTATGATCTTTTAAACTTTCCCTAGGAATGGCTTCAGAGATGGAGAACAGTTATGTGTCCAGAGTGGAATCAGGCCATTATGATGGATTACCATCATTTCTCCCTATCTCTAGAAAGTCTGCTCCAAAGGTCTTTTCTGCAGAGAAGAATGCACAGCGTTTCAGGATGTCAAAACCTTAAATACCCGGATACTTAAAGATGAATCGGGCCCTAGCAAAGAACAGGAAAATTAGTTTTTCCTTTTTTTTCAAAGTGAGAAGAAATAATGATAGTACATGCTGGAAATATAATTTTGATATCACAAGTTTCTTAGGAAAAGGAAATAATAACCTATAACAACATTGCTTTAGATCACAAGATAGAGAAGTAGGCCTGTTTTGTATATGCTATTTTTGGATACCTGCCTTCTTAAATTTGAGTTAATCACTTTACTGTGCAAGAAGAAATCAAAAAAAGCAACGATGAAAGAAGAGGCTCCTTCTAAGTTTTCAAGAGATAAAGAAAGTAATTTTATAAGAGAGGAAATAAAATGTAATGCTTTTTCCAGCATAAGGTGAATGAGATCATCTGGGTTAGGAAGTTTTTCTATGCTGGGAAGATATGATAAAGTAATTGAACATAAGTGCCTAGAATTTTATAGGAAACTTCCAAAGTCACTTGATTTAGAAGGACAGATGAGGCTCAATATGGCTTCTTCCCTCAGAAGTGGCATAGGTTACAGCAGTAGAAACTTAATCCAGCCTCAGAAAGAGTTCCCAAAGCACTCAAAAGTTGTATGCAAAAGACTTAGAAAACCGGGCTGGAAATATTTTATACAGTAACCCTGAATGCTTTAGGATGGTTACTTTTTAATGTATTCCATGCTTGTCTAACACCTGCCCATTCCAGGGGGTACATACGCAGGGGCCTCTCCAGGCGAGCATCTCAGTTATACTTCCATCAGGTCCTGGCAGGAACACTGGATAGGGAGGCTAGATTCACTGCACATCGCCTCTACCATAGCTGCTCAGACCTTCATGTGCACACAAAACACCCAGAGATCTTGTTGGAACACAAATTGCCAGGGTACAACCCAGGGGAATTTGCATTTCTCACAAGATCTGCCCCTGGGCCCCCTGCAATGCAGATGCGGTGGGTCCCCAGACCCCACTTTGGGCAGCACCGATCTATACAACCACAGGAGGAAGCCCTCCCGATTAACATTCAAGCCAGGCAGGTGAAGGCTGGCCACATCTACCTGCCTGTCCCACAGGGACCTCCACCTTTCCTTTCTATTCCCATTCTACCTTTGTTCAGTAGGCCTTCATCCCCTCTTATCTAGCTACTGCAGTAGCTTCCTCACTGGTTTTTTTTTTTTTTTTTTTTTTTTGCCTCCTTTTCTATTCTAACTCTACCCATTCTAATGTATCTTGCATACAGATAGATAGATATTCATTACTTTTCTGCAAATACATCTTGGATTACACTTTGTCTGCCTTTAATAGCATTCTGTGTCTTCCACAAGATGACAGTGAATTACATGTGAGCCTTTTCTACCTAAATTACCTTATATTTTCCAGCCTTCACGTTTTTGTTCAGGCTGTTCCCAATGTCAGAAATTTCTTCCCCATTCCCGTCCTTTCCTCTGCTTACTGAAACTGCATAGTTTTTACTACATAGCTCCAATGCCCCCTCCTTTGTGCAGTATCCATTGATTGCCCTGTGTGAAAATATTGGATTCCTCCTCTACATTCCAATAACAAATTGCCTGACAGGCATGCATGCCATTTGTGACGAGTGCCACTGATCCCCTTGTAACAGGTATTTGTAGCTTCCCCACCATATCTAAGCTTCTTGGGTGCAGAGATCCTGATGATTCTATCAAGATCTATCACATCTTACCCACAGAAAATGACTAATGGTAATGGTGCTGGGAGAACTGGCTAACCGTACGCAGAAGATTGAAACTGGACCCCTTCCTTACACCACACGCAAAAATCAACTCCAGATGGATTAAAGATTTAAATGTAAAACCCAAAACTGTAAAAGCCCTGGAAGACAACCTAGGCAATACCATCCTGGACCTAGGAACAGGCAAATATTTCATGACAAAGACTCTAAAAGCAATCACAACAAAAGCAAAAATTGACAAGTAGGATCTAATTAAACTGAAGAGCTTCAGCACAGCAAAAGAAACTATCAACAGAGTAAAGAGACAACCTACAGAATGTGAGAAAATATTTGAAAACTATGCAACTGACAAAGGTCTAATATTTAGTATCTATAGGAATGTAAACAAATTTACAAGGGAAAAACAAACAACCCCATTAAAAATTGGGCAAAGGATATGAACAGATGCTTTTCAAAAGAAGACAAACATGTAGCCAACAAATATATGAAAAAAGCTCAATATCACCAATCACTAGAGAAATGCAAATCAAGACGACAATGATATACCATCTCATACCAGTCAGAATAGCTATTATTAAAAAGTCTAAAAAAAATAACAGGTGCCGGTAAGGTTGCAGAGAAAACTGAACATTCATACACTGTTGGTGGGAGTGTAAATTAGTTCAATCATTGTGGAAAGCAATATGGTATGGTGATTCCTCAAAAAGCTAAAAAGCAGAACTACCATTCAACCCAGCAATCCCATTACTGGGTATGTATCCAGAGGAATATAAATCATTCTACCATAAAGACACATGCAAGCAAATGTTCACTGAAGCACTATTAAGAATAGAAAAGATGTGGAATCCACCTAAATGCCCATCAATGACAGATTGAATAAAGAAACTGCCGTATATATACACCATGGAATACCATGCGGCCATAAAAAAGAATGAGATCACGTCTTTTGTAGGGACATCGATGGAGTTGAAGGCCATTATCTTTAGCAAACTAATGCAAGAACAGAAAACCACATGCCACATGTTATCACTTATAAGTGGGAGCTAAATGATGAGAACTTATAAACACAAAGAAGGAAACAACAGACACTGGGTTCTACTTGAGTGGGGAGGGTGGGAGGAGGGAAAGGAGCAGAAAAGACAACCATTGGGTACTGAGCTTAATACCTGGGTGATAAAATAATCTGTACAACAAACCCCAGTGATATGTGTTTACCTATGGAAGAAACCTGCATGTGTACCCCTGAACCTAAAAGTTTTTTTTTTTTTTTTAAAAGAAAGAAAATGACTTTGTTAGATGGACTCCTGAAGGAATGAATGAACAAATGGATGAACGGTCAAAATAATCAAGTAAATAAAGTAATGTTTTAGGCTCTGTGGTGATCGTGAGTGCTGTCTGTCACATGTTTCCGCTCATCTACCTTCTGAGCACCTGGGAAACTTGTTCTGCCTGGTCCCTTGTGGTTGGATGGGGCCATATGACTGGCTTTAGCCAATGAGCTGTGAGTAGAAGTGCCATGTGTATCTTCCAACCAATGAGCTGTCAGCAGAAGTGCCATATGTGTCTTCTGACCCAGGAAATGTGAGCAGAAGTACCATGTGGTACCATGTGTGTCTTCCAGCCAATGAGCTGTGAGCAGAAGTACTACATGAGCTTCCAGCAAATAAGCTGTGAGCATAAGCACCATGTGTAGCCTTCAGTGAATGAGTTGTGAGCAGAAGTGCCATGTGTGGCTTCCAGGCTGGAAGCCTTGTTATGATGGCACCATCCAGGCCACTCTTATTGACACTGTGACATGCAACTTTGAAATGGTGCTTGTTTTGTCAGTCTGGGATCCTGAGCCCACAATAAGCAGATCCCCCTGCCCCCAACCCCACAGTGGGCATATTGTGTGAGTGATAAACAACTCTTTGTTTAAGCAGCTAAGAAGCAGGTTGCTGCGTACTGAGCAGAACCCTCTATCCTCACTGGCACAGGACTTTTCTGGATCTGTTTCCCACCACTCATTTCCACCTCACGTACAGCTCTTCCAGCCACGACCAGGTCCTTCTCTCAACAACTTCTGTCCTTGAAGGTGACCCCTTATTACCCATTTTATTCTAGTAACATAAGACTCCCCTGTGTCTGGGGCTTTGCTTCCTGTTTTCTATTTACAGCTAATGATATCTGAGTCTCCCACCTCACAGCTGAGTGATCTGGTCTGTGCTTTGGGACCACCCCTGGGATTCTGTTACAGTGAATGTTCTCATGTATTTAGACTGACTTTGGAACATGAAAGCTCAGGAGAAGAGGTCTCCCTGCAATACTCCTGTTACATTTTGCAATTTAGAATTAAAGCAGATGTACAATCATAAAGAAAAAGGAAAAAAATAATAAAGTGATTTTTTTAAAAATAAAATTTCAGTCTTTGTGGGAGGGGATGGATTGAGCATTTCCTTGATTGGATTGTTTTGCTTTGGTAAAAAAGCACAGACTGTCTTCTTAAATGCATTTCTTTTTCTTTTTCAATAGTGAAAGGTAGTGAAAAAAGGAAAGAAATGAGCACTTTTAACAAGAATATTTTCACACATATTACCTGTACAGGAGACATAATCAGTGCAAAATGGAAATGTGAAGCTTCTCATTCAAAAACTAAGATTTGCAAGATGATGACAGCAGTAAATAAATAAAAGCATCGGTTTTTTCTGAGTGTGGGGCCCTGTGTGACTGCACCGTTTGCTCCCCCATAAAGCCAGCCCTGCCTGTGACATGGCAGCCTTCTAAAATCCTAGATTTTTTGCTCCTCCACACATTGTTTCAGCACTGTATTCCATGACTTCAGAGAATGCCCAGGTGTGATTGCTGAATTCGGTGAGCATTTCTGGAGGAGAAAAGGATAATGCAAAGAAAGAGGAATGGAACACCCTTGCCAGCAGCCACCATTGCTTGTCATCACATTAATTTCCCCCAGTGTCATGGAGACGGTCTACCGGGGCAGTGATCCACACAGGCATCAGAGGGAGGGACCTCTGACGGTGACGGGGTCATTTCCCATCTGTGATGTTCATTTCAGTCCTGTCAACCCCAGAAAGCACAGCTAAAGACAAGTGGAAAATAAATGCACCTTGATGCCCAAATGGGTTGTTCCTTCCCCATTTAGACAACACAAGGAGGAGACCATTTTTAAACTGGTCTACTGCCATGTGGAAATGGACCATTCTGTCACGGTGAACTAATATCTTATGACTTTTATCATACTGATTGGAGCCAAACTGTTATTAAAATTCACAATTGTGACCGGGAAGAGTGGTTCACGCCTGTAATCCCAACACTTTGGGAGGCCAAGGCGGGTGGATCACTTGAGGTCAGGAGTTCGAGACCAGACTGGCCAACATGGAGAAACCCCATCTCTACTAAAAATACAAAAATTAGCTGGGCATGGTGGTGGACACCTATAATCCCAACTACTTGGGAGGCTGAGGCAGGAGAATCGCTTGAACCCAGGAGAAGGAGGTTTCAGTGAGCCCAGATTGTGCCACTGCACTCCAGCCTGGGTGACAGAATGAGACTCCGTCTCCGGAAAAAAAAAAAAAAAAAAAGTCACAATTGTGCAGCAGTAGACTACTCTCCATTTAATCAATCATTTTCTTAAGTCCCTGTGCCTGGTTTGCATTTTGTTTTCTGTGATGCAGATCTAAGAGGTCTGAGATGAATCCTGAAGGGATGGGGCGCACGAGGAAAGCTGCTGAAGGTGTTCTGGACCAAAGCTAAGTAGCACCTTCTGCTTCATGGTCCCTCACAGCAGTGGTAGGTAGGTAGTTAGGAGCTCTGCTCAGGTTGGGGCGGCGAGGGTGGGAAACGTGAGCCAGAAAAGCCCCAGAAGTAATCTGATGTGCAGTTTGTAACAGACCTCATTTTCCTCCAGAAGCCAGGGGGTGGGATGGGTGAAAGAGGAGTTTTAAAAAGCAAGAAAGCTCAGTGCTGTTATGATTTGCATGCAGAAGTACTTGAAAATCTGTACTGGCAATTAGCTAATGAGACAGTGCTCATTTCCGCCGACTGCCAAGGGCTTGACTTCCTAGAGAGCTGAGCGAGGCACTGGGAATCTACAGGAAGAAAATCGAGGGAGGGAGGGAGGGATGCTCCTGCTTCCCCCAGTCACCTTGAACCCCTTCCTTACATGTGGCAACCATGTTGTTCCAATGCCAGCCCAAGTGTCACAGAATAGCTGTGAGAGAAAATAAACAAAGAATCACTCCAGTAACTTTCAGCACAATTTATTGGCACTTGTGTCTTACGGCTGCTGCCGCCTGTTGGGGTAATGACACATGATGGGTGATTAAGGTGCAAGTCCTTAAATCAAAGCTGTGCATTTGGTCTGGAGAGGCAGCCAGCAGCCCTGAGTTTGCTCATCCCTCTGAGTGGGAGGACCTCTTTAGGACAAAAAGGGGCCTGTTATCCTAACAAGGGCAAGTCCTCGTGTCTGGGAACTGTTTCATGTTTTCAGGATTTACCCTAGCTCCTCTCTGACACATGAGAAAAAAGGAAAGCTGAGAGGGTAGCCCAGTCCATCATAGCTTGCTGGGTGATTTCGCATGAGGTTCCCGGGGCTGGGATGGCTTCTGAAGATGCCTCCACCTGCACCTCTCCCTGAAGGGAGGCCTATCAAGCAGCAAGTCAGGGGAATTTTGCAAGTGTTTTGATGACATGAATCTCTGCTTTTCACCCTTTCAGGGTTGGTGCTGGCAGGGAGGCTCGCTTAGGTGGGTGGAGCTCATAGTCTCTCTTTTTCCTTTATGCCAGGAATTAACAAATGAGGAAGAGATTGTGTGTGAGCCTCCCTGAGCCATGGACATTACACCTCTGGTCTGCCATGGGCTTTTGTGCTTTTCATTATTCTGAAACTGGACAAATCAATGACGCTTTCATACTTATCTAGCCAGGAGGAGGAACGGGGATGGTAGATTGCTGATAAGATCCAGGTTCCTGTTCCTTAAAAACTAGGAGCTCCACAGCAATGGATCAGAAGGGGCCAAGCTTACCTAAGCTGGCAGGATAGGGAAGTCCCTTCTGTTTTAGCCCTTTAAGGACAGTCACTTTTAAACTACCCATCAGATTTTTGTTCTCTGTATCTGCTTTCCTCAGGCCTTTTCTCTCTATAAACCCCACCTCCTCTGCTCAGCTCATGGGAACACTCATTCTATGGCATCAAATGAGGTGTTGCCTGAATCTAGACTCTCAAATAAAAGCCAAAGGAGATTTTAAAAAACATCCTCAAGAAGCCTGTTCAGAGAGCCTGAGTGAACATGGGCAAGAATCCCATACTCACTTCCTATACGTCCAGAAAGAAGCAGAAAAGAGGCTCTGGCATGGTGGCTCACACCTGTAATCCCAGCACTTTGGGAAGCCAAGGCAGGTGAATCAAATGAGGTCAAAAGTTCAAGACCAGCCTGGCCAACATGATGAAACCCAGTCCGTACTAAAAAAAAAAAAAAAAAAAAAAAAAAAAAAAAAAAAATTAGCTAGGTGTGGTGGTGCATGCCTGTAGTCTCAGCTACTCAAGAGGCTGAGGCAGGAGAACTGTTGGAACCTGGGAGGTGGAGGCTGCACTGAGCTGAGATCTCGCCACTGCACTCCAGCCTGGGCAACAGAGAGAGACTCTATATCAAAGAAAAAAAAAAAGAGGCCCCAGGAGAGCAGGATCTTGGGGTGGGTAGATGTGCACTACTCATGACTAACACGGTGAAGAAGTATCCAACAGCAATGAAGGTGAAGTCCATACTACTGTAAAGAACAGTGCTAGAAATCAGGCAGAAGCCCACAGTGGATAGCCTGGAGAGGGCCCAAGTTTAAATCTCAGCTTTTTAATTTCCTGCTGTGTGAGGAGTCCCCAGGATGCAGGACTTTCAATGTGGAGACTGAGAGAGTCCCAGGGAAACTGAGACAGCTGGTCACCTATATGTGGCCTTGGGTCAATCTTTAACCTTGATGAATGTATTAGTCCATTTTCACACTGCTGATAAAGACATACCTGAGGCTGGGAAGAAAAAGAGGTTGAATTGGATTTATAGCTCCATATGGCTGGGGAGGTCTCAGCATCATGGGGCGCAGGGAAAGGCACTTCTTACATGGTGGCAGCAAGAGAAAAATGAAGAGGAAGCAAAAGCGCAAATCCCTGATAAACCCATCAGATATTGTGAGATGTATTCACTATCATGAGAATAGCATGTGAAACGCTGACCCCCATGATTTAATTACCTCCAGCTAAGACCCTCCCACAACACATGGGAATTCTGGGAGATACAATTCAAGTTGAGATTTGGTGGGGGGGCACAGCCAAACCATATCATTCTACCCTTGGCCCCTCCAAAATCTCATGTCCTCACATTTCAAAAACAATCATGCCTTCCCAACAGTCCCCCAAAGTCTTAACTCATTTCAGTATTAACCCAAAGTTCACAGTCCAAAGTCTCATCTGAGACAAGGCAAGTCCCTTCTGCCTATGAGCCTGTGCAATCAAAGCCTAGCTACTTCCTAGATACAATGGGGGTACAGGCATTGGGGAAATATAGCCATTCCAAATGGGAGAAATTAGCCAAAACAAAGGGGCTACAGGCCCCATGAAAGCCCACAATCCAGCAGGGCAGTCAAATCTTAAAGTTCCAAAATGATCTCCTTTGACTCCATGTCTTGCATCCAGGTCATGCTGATGCAACAGATGCATTCCCATGGTCTTGGGCAGTTCCACCCCTGAGGCTTTCCAGGGTACAACCTTCATTCCAGCTGCTTTCATGGGCTGGTGTTGAATGTCTGTGACTTTTGTAGGCACATGATGCAAACTGTCAGTGGATCTACCATTCTGGGGTCTGGAGGACAGTAGCCCTCTTCTCACAGTTCCACTAGGTGGTGCCCCAGTAGGGACTCTGTGTGGGGCCTCTGACCCCACATTTCCCTTTGACACTGCCCTAGCAGAGATTCTCCATGAGGACCATGCCCCTGCAGCGAACTTTTGCCTGGGCATCCAGGCATTTCCATACATCTCCTGAAACCTAGGAGGACATTCCCAAACCTCAATTCTTGACTTCTGTGCACCCACAGGCTCAACACCACATGGAAGCTGCCAAGGCTTGGGGCTTGCACCCTCTGAAGCCATGGCCTGAGCTGTCCCTTCGCCCCTTTTAGTCATGGCTGGAGTGGCTGGGATGCAGGGCACCAACTCCCTAGGCTGCACACAGCATGGGCACCCTGGTGTTGGCCCATGAAACCATTTTTTCCTCCTATGCCTCCAGGTCTGTGATAAGAACGGCTGCTATGAAGACCTCTGACATGCCCTGGAGACATTTTCCCCATTATCCTGGGAATTAACATTTGGCTCCTTGTTACTTATGCAAATTTCTCCTCAGAAGATGGCATTTTCTTTTCTATCACATTGTCAGGCTGCAAATTTTCCAAACTTTTATGCTCTGCTTCCCTTATAAAATGAAATGCCTTTAACAGCACCCAAGTCATCTTTTGAATGCTTTGCTGCTTAGAAATTTCTTCCACCAGATACCCTAAACCATCTTTCTCAAGTTCAAAGTTCCACAAATCTCTAGGACAGGGGCAAAATGCTGCCAGTCTCTTTGCTAAAATATTATAAGTGTCACCTTTGCTCCAGTTCCCAACAAGTTCCTCATTTCCATCTGAGACCACCTCAGCCTGACGTTATTGTCCATATCACTATCAGCATTTTGGGCAAAGCCATTCAAGTCTCTAGGAAGTTCCAAACTTTCCCACATTTTTCTGTATTCTTCTGAGCCCTCCAAACTGTTCCAACCTCTGCCGGTTACCCAGTTCCAAAGTTGCTTCCATATTTTCAGGTATCTTTTCAGCAGTGCCCCACTCTACAGGTACCAATTTACTGTATTAGTCTGTTTCCACACTGCTGATGAAGACATACCTGAGACTGGGAAGAAAAAGAGGTTGGATTGGACTTACAGTTCCACATGGCTGAGGAGGCCTCAGAATCACGGCAGGAGGCGAAAGCCACTTCTTACATGGTGGCGGCAAGAGAAAAATGAAGATGAAGTAAAAGCAGAAACCCCTGATAAACCCATCAGATCTCATGAGACTTATTCACCATCACACGAATAGCACAGGAAAGACTGACCCCCATGATTCAATTATCTCCCACTGGGTCCCTCCCACAGCACATGGAAATTCTAGGAGATACAATTCTAGTAGAGATTTGGATGGGGGCACAGCCAAATCATACCAATGAACATCAGTTTTGTCATCTGAAGCAGGGCAGATAGTTATGCAAATTGCAGTATTGTTGGATATTAGCTGATATGGTTTGGCTCTGTGTTCCCACCCAAATCTCATCTTGAATTGTACTCCCATAATTCCCATGTGTTGTGGGAGGGACCAGGTAAGAGATAATCTGAATCATAGGGGTAGTTTCCCCGATACTGTTCTCATGGTAGTGGATAAGTCTCATGAGATCTGATGGTTTTATCAGAGGTTTCTGCTTTTGCATCCTTCTCATTTTCTCTTGCCGCTGCCATGTAAGAAGTGCCTTTTGCCTCCCACCATGATTCTGAGGCCTCCACAGCCACGTGGAACTATAAGTCCAACTAAACTTTTTTTCTTCCCAGTCTCGGGTATGTCTTTATTAGCAGCATGAAAACAAAACGATACATTAGCGTAGAAATATATTCAAATCATGGGAATTGTGAAGGGTGAACAAACACGAGTATGAAAGCAACATTTCAGCAGGTTTGAGAAAGTTGTTCATGAAGGCAGCTGTCTCTCTGGAGTGTGTGATGTGGCAGGTCTCAGGGTCAGAAGTGAGCTCTCTTTGCAACCTGGTATGCTGGGAGTTAAGCTTTAGGAAACACAGAGTTGAGGTAATCATGGCTTCATGGGGAAAATGCAGGGGTTCCTTGCAGCCAGAAGAGAAGAGAACAACCTCCAAGCTCCAAAGAAGGATGAAGGAGTTAGGTGTGTAGCCCCAGCCCCTAATAAGGAAGAGGCCTCAAGGTATTTTGTCTGAGATCAAGGCCTCCTGGCACTATTCCAAGTGGAAGGAAACCCTAAGCTGACACACATCTGAGACCTGGGTGGAGCCATTTCAAAGGAAGCTGAGGTCCTTCTCTTGACTTTTAACCTTGAGAACATGGTCACTTTGTACTGTTTTTGCAGGTTCTACTCACATTGACCTTGACTCCATGACCTTGGAATTTAAACATGAGACAATGTCGTATCCTTGCCTGGGTTTGGCAATTGCAGGGTTCAGGCCAGTAGAATGACCTATGACGGTTTGGGGATTCACAGCCTCTGTCGCAAGCTTAATTCATGCAGCATCTGGGGACCCCAACACTCTTCATGTGGTCTGCGACATCTCTGAAAAACTTCTACATGGTAAGGAATTTTGGTGTTTTTTAAAAAAGTCAAGGGCCTCAATTAGAAATATGAATAAAGGGAGATGAAGGCTACTTCCTTTAAGGTTGTATCAAGACAGGAAGACATAAAGTAAGAGTGTATATATGACACTATGTGGTAAGCTGCAGATAAAAATTTCAATTTAGCTTGATGCATCTTCTGTGGTTCTTTCATAATTTTTTAAAAAATTCCACACTTAAACAGTTGTGATAGATGGCCTGCTAATACAGTGCAAAATGTGGCCATTTTACATTTTCTCACAAAGAATTAACCCAGAATGTCTGAATCCCCAGATGGCTTCACTGTTGCCTCCTTTCATCCCCGTCACTAATCTGTGAAAAGGCAGCCCTCACATTAAGACACTTTCCTGAAGTGGCAGCGACAGCTCAGTGAGGGCTGCTGTGCTGCACTGGGTCGGGGCTGACGTTCCCAACCTCACTGCTAATGAGAAGACTTGAAAGATTACTGACATGTTCATGTTCATGGAGGTGGCCGGAAGTAATTAAGCACTCTTCAATAAAGGGCTACCTTGGCAAGTTCAAGATTTGAATGGGAAAAGGGTGATGGCTGGGCTGGGTGCACATGTTACCTGCATCTCCAAGACCCTGTCCTTCTTGGCGTCTTTCCCTGCTTATCAGACCAGTTCTGGGCACTGATAACACCACAGAGCATTTGCTCAATCTCTATCACCTGATATCCTGAAAAGGGAGTGGAGGCCTTTTTGCAGACTTCTGGGCTCCCACAGCCCTTGTGCTGCAGCATGCTGCCTGCCTTCTCTTCTGTCATCAATGAAATATGGTGGAGGGAGCTATGCTGCTGATGCAGCTTGGAGGCTGTAAGGGACCAGAGTCAAATGGGCCATCGAGGGCTGGCTACACAGTTACTGGGCTGGCCATGTGATAGAGAGTGCAGACCACTAAAAGGCACATAGCAGAAGAATACTGAGTAACACAGAAAAAAATCAACACATATAGATCAGAATAAAGGCTAAGTTATTAAACAGTACATTCAGATGTTTCTAGTTACAGAAAAATGCTTCAGCACATATTAGCAGAGAGAAAAAAAAATAGGCCACAAGGAGATTTATCACTATATTAATTTTTTTTTGTGAGGGAGGGTTTTTCTCACCATTCCCGATGTTTCCTTCTACGTAGATCAGACCTGTTGAGGTAACACTTCTCCTATTTCCTAGTCTTCCCTTGTTTTAATTTGGGATAGAAGGAATGACTTACACTTGATAATGAGTTTGGAAGTGGGAACTAGGCATATACAGCTCTACCCTTTCCTGTACTTTTTGTTGGGAGCTGACAGTTCCTAAGAAACACCCTGTAGTGGGCAGATTCCAAGATAGCCCCCAGTGATCCTGTCCCCTGATATTCATGCCCTTGTGGAATCTCCTATTCTTGAGTGTAGGTAGGTCCTGTGACTTTCTTCTAATCACTTAAATATGGCAAAGATAGTGGGACATCATTTCCTTGATAAGCTCACATGATATTATAACTTCCATCTTTCAACTCTCTCTGTTGCCTTCTCCACTTGCATGTTTTCTTTTCTTTCTTTTTTTTAAAACAAAACAAAACAAACAAACGACACTTGCAAGCAAGCAGCCATGTTGCAGACATCCTCATGGCAAGGTACCAAGGGTGACCTTTACTTGGCCAACAGCCAAAGAGTAAGTGAGGCCACAAGTTGACTCCTGACAACAATTACATGAACTTGGAAGCAGATCCCCACTTGAGCCTTCAGATGAGACCTAAGCCATGGCTACTACTTTGATTGCAGCCTTGAGGAAGACATTGAGAAAGCTGTTTGTTTCAGATGGTTGAAGCCAGGACCTCAGTAAGCTATGTCTGGACTCCTGGACCCACAAAAACTGTAAGAACATAAGTGTATGCCATTTTAAGCTGCAAAATCTGTGATAATTAGTTACAAAGACATAGATAATAAAATCAGACCTTTATGCCATAAAGTATGCATGGGTGGCCCTAATCTTTGGTAGGGTACAGAGGTGGTATTGGGGTCCTGTGATGCCTAGGACTGTCTGGGTAAGCCTACTGGATTCTTAGCTTAAGTTATGAGGAGTATCTGCCCATAGATATAAACAGCATTGTCTCACATGAATTTTATCTTTGACAAATGAGATTTTGTTGTTTTCCTCCTTTGTTTCCCTCATAAATTTCAGATCTTGAGTAGGAAAAAGAGAAATATTTCTATCACCATCTTTTGAGTGTTGGGATAAGGAGAGATTTTTCTACCTTTCAATCTATTATTTTATTTTTAAAATATATGGGAACCTGTGTAATTGTTATAATCAGAAAAAAAATACTAAGAAGGGCCAGCCGGGTGGCCAGGTACATGCAAGTGAGTTTTGATAGGGACTTTTTACTATTGCCCTAGACTTTGTTTCTATGATTCAAGATTGAGGATCAAAGTATCACATCCTTAAACTTTTTTCAAGACTATGGGAACCAGATTCCCATTAAAGGCTTAAGTTCTGCTACTCTCAATCATTACTCCAGTCCCCACAACTTCCCAACGTATAAAACAAAATTGGGGGAAGTGGGGAGAAAGAGAAAATTGTCCTGGGTTACTAGAGAGTGCTAAGGCTCGAGTTGTCTGTCCCCCTAGACCCAAGTAAGGGGCGGGGGGCTGAGAACGTATCACTCACAGAGGTTGGGAGTGCCTGTAAAGTGGGTAAATGGAATTTATATTCTTCTGTTTGCTATTTAATTGGGAAGTGACATGTTTATCTGCCTTACACATACCTGAGCAGGAAGACATAAACCAGGAGGGAGAAGACAGGTGAAGTGTGAGCACAGGACGATGATGCCTAAGTTTCCATGGACACTACAGAAACTATCTGGGCTTAGGATGGTTGGTCCACAGTGAGGGAATTCTGTAGCACAAGTCTCTGCAAGGCATTGGGGAGCATCGTGGGAGGGAGGATGTTATTTACCTCTTTATCATTCTCCTAACTCTGTTAGGGACTGTATAGCAGGGAGCCTGGAAATTCCCTGCCAAATAAATTGCATGTATTTGATTACATGATACAATGCAGAATATATCTGGTCTTTGTTCCTGGTTCCGGGACAGAGCTTCAAAACCTCTTGGAGTTTTCAGAGTGATAGAAATGTCTTCAGTTACTCACAACAGACCCTTTCTACTTCTGCAGTACCTGAGTTTATGCTAATGAGGTGACTTATGGTGGGCCCTCAGATGATTATCAAGGAGGGGCTGGCCTTCTGGAAAGACCAACCATGTGATGAGAGGAGGGGGACATTCAGCCTCACCCCCTGACCTCTGGGGAAGGAAGAGGGGCTAGAAATAGATCTCAGTCATGTGGCCAATGATTTAATCAATCACGCCTCCGTAATAAAACTTAGATAAAAACTCTGAGCAATGCAACTCAGACAGCTTCCTGGTTGGTGAATATATGGGTACGCCCGGAGGGCGGCACAACCCAGATCCACAAGGCTGGAAGCTCCTGTGCTCAGGACCCTTCCGGATCTTGCCACATGTACCTGTGCATCTGGCTGTTCACTCATGTCCTTTTTGGTAAAATGGTAATTGTTAAGTATGGCATTTTCCTGAATGCTGTAAGAGGTTCTAGCAGATTATCAAACCCAAGGAGGGTGTGCTATCTTGAATTTGCAGCTATCCAGGCAGAAGTGTGGGAAGCCTGGGACCCCACTCACTGCTGGTGTCTGACATAAGAGCAGTCTTGTTAGGGATCTTGCCCTTTAACTCATGGGATCTGATACGAACTCCAGGTAATTAGTGCCTGAATCAAACTAAATTGTAGGATACCCAGTTGGTGTCAGACAATATTGAAGGCTGTTTTCCATACAGAGTGAGGGCTTTGATGGTCAGTAAATATTAGATAAATAGTCACAGCTAAGATAAATGACAGAGCCTTTGTTTTGCATGATCTCCTCATATCATATCACCCCATTACAATAGAGGCAAGTTACCCTGAATGAAAAGACCAAACACTCCAGGCAGGGGGAGGGTGGAATATCACAGTTTAAGTTGGACTGGCTATGATGATATAAGGAAATAAGTAAAAGCTCAGAACCCGGTGGAAGGTGGTGATGGGAGCAAATTTAAACTGATTCATTATGCTCCCCCATTCCTCTAAGCAAGAAAGGATTTTCTGACGCATACAAAATGATACAGTTGGCAATACGAATGCATCTGATGCTTATAGTCATGAGCTTTTCCAACCATTGAAAACAGAGGTCTCACCTCCAGAAAACTGAGGTACATTATGACTTAACACACAGAATCAAGGTGACTGGTTCACGGGGGTGGGTATAAAGCCCAGGCCCCCAGCCCCAGCCACCTTGGAAGGGCCACCCAGCTTCAGAGCTCTTTGCAGGATCAGCTGGGCCCTGCTTGCATCTGCATCCCAGCTTCTTTCTGTGCCTCTCCAACTTCCTGTACTCCCCCTATGGCGTTGATCCCAAGCGCTTTCCAGCAGGTTTCCAGCACACAGATCCCTGCCAGAAGCCAGCCTAAGACAATCCTCCTTTATCCAGCTTTCCACTCAAAAATCAGCGTCCTCAGAGTGGCTTTCCCTTATCTCTCACGTGCCATCTAGTAAGTGCCTTCATTATATTTGGTGCATGTTTTAACTGTGAGATTATTCATCTGCTGATATGATTAATGTCAAATTATAAGCTCCGTGTGGGTAAAGGCCCCCTGGTCTAATCACAATTGCATCTCTAAGGCCCAGCACTGGCAGTTGTATAGATTAGACTTCCAATATATAATTATGGAATAAACAGGTAAATAAAGGATGTTAAATCCCATTGAGGAGACGACTCCATTTTTTAAGTCTCCTACTCAGTTTTCCTCTATATCCATTCATCCCTTTAACCATTGAGTACCTGCTGTGTATGTTACTGTGTGCTGGGTGTTCTGTGCCAGAGAGTGGTGACTCAGACAGCTCCCGCTCCGTTTTTGTGGTGTGATTCATGAAGCCGGGTTCCGCTCTGCAACCCCATGTTATGGTTTGAGATAATGTTACAAATGATCTACTACATGTATGTGGCTCTTTTCCCCAGTGAGTCTATAAAAGACTTAAAGGCGAGGACATTTACAGTCCTTGCTCATAGCAATACAGTAGGCAGAATAATGGTGCTTCAAAGACCTCCCCGGCCTAATCTAGGGAACATAAATATGTTACTGTACACAGTGAAAGGTATTCTGCTGATGGAATGAAGGTTGCTAATTAACTGATCTTAAAATAGGGAGAAGATCCTAAATTCTCTGGGTGGGTCCAGAGACATCGCATGGGACTTTAAATGCAGAATAAGAAAGCAGAGGAGTCAGTCCATGCCTTGTGGCAGAAACAGAAGCAAAAGAAACAGAACAGAAGGAGAGTCAGAGATCTGAAGTGTCAGAAGGACTCACCCCACACTTGGCTAATTCTGAGATGTAAGTGATTATATGCAAGGAATAGAATGAGGCTTATAGGAGCTCAGGACAACCCCTAGCTGACAGCTGGCAGGGAAGCAGCGATGTCTGTCTCACAGCCACCTGGAGCAGAATTCTGCCCACAGTCAGAAAGAGCCAGGAAGAAAATTCTCTCCCAGGTCCTCCAGTAAGAGGAGCACAGTGCTGCGGACGCTCTGACTTTGGCTTTGTGATATGTGAAGCAGAGAAACCAGCCAAGCCACTGGATGCCCAACCTGCAAAACTCTGGATAATAAAAGGGTATTTTCCTTAAGTCACTAAGTTTGTGGTAGTTTGTAATGGCAACTTGAGAAAACTAATACAGAAGGTATCCAATGTATGTTTTGGACTTGAGTCTTTAAAACTCTGTATTCCCAAATTAAAATGCAGCATACCCTGAAGCATTTACAGAGTGAATTTGCAGTTTCAACTTTTTGTAAACAGCATGGAAGTTCACGGCATGTTAAAATATGCACACGTTAATATGTGTCATTTTGCTGAGGGAGGTATTTAGGTATTTAGGCTGTGGGTGCTACAAGGCATGTGTGTGGGAATATAATCCTTCCTGAACTTTTAGGCCACTAATATCAAAATCTGCATTAGTCAGGGCTTCCCAGAGAAACAGAACCAATAGGAGAGAGAGAGACAGACAGAGAGAGAGAGAGAGAGACAGAGAGAGAGAGAGACACACACAGACAGACACACACACACAAAGAGACAGAGAGATTTATGATAAGGAACCACTCCATGAAATTGTGTGGGCTAGTAAGTCTAAAATTTGCCGGGCCAGCCAGCAGGCTGTACCCAGGAAAGAACTGATGTGCAGCTTGGGTCCGAAGGAGGCAGCATCTCCTCTTTCTTCCAGGGACTTCAGTCTGTTTTTCTAAGGACCTTTAATTGATGAAGCCCACCCGCATTATGAAGGATAATCTACTTTACTCAAAAATCTATGGATTTAAATGTTAATCACATCTAAGAAATACCTTCACAGCGACATCTAGGCTGGCTTTTGACCAAGCATCTGAGTACCATGCCTAGCAAAAGTGACACATACAATTAACCATCACAAATCCACACCTTGTCAACTCGGCATCCATGCACGTCTGCTTACACCATACTTACTCTTCAAATAAAGACAATAACAAGGTTATACTTCCACTTCACATAATATCACTACCCTGAGCACAACTGAAAGCACACAAACCCTGTCCCTAAAAGAAAAGCAAAGTCCTTTGGTGATGTTCATGCCTCTCCTTAATGTCCCGTAACTTTACTACTATGATGTGAAGTTGACAATACTTAAATACTATGATAGCAAATCAATGTATCATATGTTATATGATAATGGGATAAGAGAGGAAAGAAAACAAAGATACAATTGTTTCTTGGTATCTTTGGGGAATTGGTTCCAGGAACCCCTCATACAGGATACAAAACTCTGAGAGAGTTCAAGACTTTTCATATGCACTGGCCTAGTATTTGCAGCTAACCTACACACATCCTCCTGCACACTTTAGGTGCCATCTAGACTACATATGAAACCTAATAAAATACAAGTGCTATCCAAATAGTTGTTGTATTGTACTGTGTTATATTTGTATTTATGTTTATTGTTGTATTTTTTTGTTTTTTTTTCCCTGAATATTTTTTATTTGAGGATGGTTGAATCTATGAGTGTGGAAGCTGCAGATTCAAAGGGCTGGCTGTATTTGCTGAACACACACACACACACACACACACACACAATGGCAAACGCACTCCCTGGCACTGCCTCTCCACATGGCTATGCTATTCTCTCATAATGCATCATCCTTAGCCTTTTACAGTGATTACCTTGGGAGACAGGACTGAATGAGCAGAATGGATTCATTTAGCATTACTACAATCCCAATTTTTACAGTTGTGGAAATAATTTTACAGTGGCACATGAGAAAGAGGGGCTTCTCAGAGGTCGCAGAAAATAAAAGACAACTCAGGACTTCCAAACGTTAATTTTTTTAATGCTCATGCACTTACCCTTGTTTTTTTCTCCTGGCTTCAATACATGGCCAAGGTAGCACAGAGGTGGCTCCATGGTGTGATGACAATGACAACACTCATGGTATTATGTGCCTGTTAATGCAGTTTATGGCTACAGAAAGCCCCTTTCTCCTTATTCTTTTCACAGAGCAATGTACCTTCCCCTTGCTGCATTATCAATGGGGTTTTAAGCAAAAGTGCTCTTTTCTCCTCTTGCACATTTACAATCAATGGCTACAGACTCAGAATTGTGAAGTGCTTTCTGACTGTTTTGTTTCCATTTTCTAGCAATGGCCCATTCTGTATCAATCTAAATGAGCCACAGAAAACATGGCATCTGACCTGCATCTCCGGGGAGAAAGTATTGTTCCTAGCAGCATTCAGCAGTACCATATACAAAAAGGAGAAGCGATGAAAACCTAAAAGCATGTCTTCCAAAACTTCTTCCTGGAGATCTTCTTCTATGTCTGGCATCAGCTCTCCTGCTCTTTCCCTCTTGCATTTCTTCCTGCTGCAAACACTGGTTGAGAACCTACTACTTCCAAGGCCTAGAAATGTTATTCTCAAATGACAGGAACACATGAAATTGTTTCCAAGCTGAATGTCCAACTAAGATAACAGTTGCAAAATGATGCCAAACCATAAAGTGAAATATGAGCTACTCCTGAAATACAATAAAATGGAGCTATGTGTATTTATCTGTGTAAAAAGTAAAGTAGAGGTTCCTCTTCAAAGACTTTCCTCCCCATCTAAATAGGAATAAACAGTAACTTCTCTTAGAAGCGAAATTTATTCAAAGACCTGTGCTAACATTCTTAAATGTCTGCTAGCCGCAATGAAGAAATCAAGGTACTTTATGTTCTTAGCTCCCACAATTTAGCTTAAATATCTGCCCTGGCATGCTTATACTGGTCCAAACAAGCATTAGGTCATAGCCTGTTCCTCTTCCTTATTTGAAGGTGTTTCTACCTTTCTCAGCATTCCACAAGTTACTTCCTCCTTCTTTTGTTCTCCTCTCTCTTTACCTCTTTTAAAAAGTTCTAAGTTGCTAGCCAATCGAGACAAACACAGAATGTGAGGTCCCGTTCCAGCCAATGGAAACCAGACACAGCAGTAGAGTGGACACCTCAGGTTATAAACGACCCTGTCTCCTTTGTTTGGTGTACTCTTGGGGCAAAACTGCTGGCGGGTGTACCCCTTCTGCAGAAAGTAAAAATGGCACTGCTGAGGAGATTAAATTTATGTTGAAGTGCTATTTCTTTATGGCACTGAGGAACAAGTATTTCTAACGTCTGGAAAGACAACTGTGATATATTGTCAACTTAAAAAGCAAATGCATACTAACATATACTCTGTGATTTCATTTTCTTAAAAGAGAAAACGCTTACACATATGAATATGCCTACTAGGAAAAAGGAAAAATGAAGAGCCTGGCCATCCATCCAGAGTGCAATGCAAAGTTCTCACCTCCCTCGAAGGATCTGATCTCCTCTTTAATGAACTCTTTTTTTTTTTTTACCCCAGCAGTGTCATGGAGGAAACACACCAAGCTTCCTCTTGCCATAGGGCCTTTTCTCTGGTTATACCATCTCCCTGGAATGCATATGGCTTCCCTCCTTCTCATTAAGAATAAAGACTCCACTCTGAGCAAATACAGAAGCTAAGTAATAAGGGGCAAGAAGCTAGACAGGGACTTCCCAGTATGGAGCAGATCCCACAGCACCAACCAGAGATGAGAATTAGGCCACACCTGTAAAGAGGCGATGCATCTGGGCCCAGAAGTTAAAAGTTACCTCCATTTCCTTAGAAAGAAGGCTACAACTGGAATCAGTTGAATACTGGTTACTGAATAGTTCTTAGAGAGAATGAAAGTTTTGAGTCAGCCATTCTTTTTTTTTTTTTTTTTTTTTTTTTTTTTTGAGATGGAGTCTCGCTCTGTCGCCCAGGCTGGAGTGCAGTGGCGAAGTCTCGGCTCACTGTAAGCTCTGCCTCCCAGGTTCACGCTATTCTCCTGCCTCAGCCTCCCGAGTAGCTGGGACTACAGGTGCCCGCCACCACACCTGTTATAAATGACCCTGTCTCCTTTGTTCGGTGTACTCTTGTACAGTTACAAGAGTACTAGTTTTTTGTATTTTTAGTAGAGACGGGATTTCACTGTGTTAGCCAGGATGGTCTCAATCTCCTGACCTTGTGATCCGCCCGCCTCGGCCTCCCAAAGTGCTGGGATTACAGGCGTGAGCCACCGCGCCCAGCCGAGTCAGCCATTCTTAACTAACAATGCTTATCCTGTGTAGTCCTTCAGGTTTTATTATACAACATACTGATGATTAAAGTCACAGTTCCAGTGTTCAGAATGAGCTGAAAATCAGGTGCTCTTTTCTGCTCAAGCATCTTTGGAATGAGAAGATCCTTACTTGCCTGTGTATACATGGACTGTACACCTCTGTAATGTGTCTTACAATCAGTAGCCAAACGGATAGCCACAAAAAGTGGACATCTAACTTGAGGTTCTGGAATCAATTGGCTTAAGGGTGTGGAAATTGAAATAAATAGGTGGGAAAACAGTATATTCAAAAGTCTACCACCTCCAGCCCTGTCTCTGCCTTCCTGCCTCAGCCACAGCTGAACTGCAAAGAGCAGATGGTGGGTCACTGCCCTGTAGCATGGACACTTGCCATGACCTGCCATTGCTTTACAAATGTGCATCAGTGACTCTGCTCCGTAGCTGTTGTCTTTGGATATGTCCTAACATGAGGAGTGAGGATGGTCCCTGCAGAGGGTCACACCTGGGAGTCCTCAAGAGAAAAGTGAGCATCACAACCAGGCACTTGCATTCTACAAAGAATAAATCATCAGAGAAACATCTCCAAGCCTTGCCTGTCCATCAGCTTATTTCCATGTACCCATTCACAAGGCCCATTGCAGGTCAGGAGCTTGTTTCAGCTGAGTTTGCAATAAGACTGGTCTAGTGGCCCTTGATGAAAGCACTTATGTGTAGCTTCTCTTCTTAATTAAGTCTAAACAAAACTATGTATTGTCTTCTGCATCCTTTTCAAGATGAATGATATTAAAAATGATTACATGATAATAATGAAACTAGAGATTGGAAAAAAGCCCCCGACATCCAGGAGCTGGCTGGGAACTCCCACCTGGGCCTTGGTGTTCTGTTATTGAAGATAAACAATTTCACAAAACACTAACATCAGACAAAACAGCTCTGTGACCGAGATGGATCAAGACAAAAGAAGACCCCTCCGTTATCATGTTTGAACATAGACAATAGCATGAGCATTGTTCAAAGAAACCACAACAATGACCAAACATCTGTTCTTTTGTCTAACGTGACTGACCACTGCTTCTTTACCCATAACAGCATTAGCCTGGCTTCATTTCTCTCATCTTATGAACAAGATTTATTAAATATCTGCTATGGTTTGAATGTTTGTCCCCTCTGAAACTCACAGTGAAACTTAACCACAATTATATAACTGTGCTAAGGGGGTGAGAAATCTTGCCCACATATTTGGTCAAACATGATTCTATATGTATCTGTGAGGGTGTTTCTGGGCAAGATTAAAGCCGAATTGGTAGGCTGAGTCAAACAGATTGCCTTTTCTAGTGTGCATGGGCCTCATCCCATCCATTTAAGACCTGAAAAGAACAAAAAGATTGAGTATGAAGAAACTCTGCCTGCCTGATGGCTGAGCTGGGACCTTGGTCTTTTCTTGTCTTTGGACTTCGAGTGAAACATTGGCTCTCCTTGGGTCTAGAGCTTGATGGCTTTCAGATTGGAATTACACATTGGCTTTCCTGGGACTTCTTAGCATCCATAATCATGTGGGCCAATTCCTTATAATAAACTTATTCTCTCTCTCTCTCTACACACACACACACACACACACACACACACACACATTCTTATATAAGTATATACATATATACCAATATAAAGAGATATAAATATGTATGCTAATAAATAGCACTATCTCTCTATATGTCTTATTGGCTTTGTTACTCTGGAGAACCCTGACAAATAGAAATTTAATGTTATGGATTTAATGGTAGTACCTCTCCAAAATTCATATGTTGAAGCCCTAACCAATGTAATGGTATCTGGAGACAGGGAGGTAATTACTTTTGAGAGGTAATTAGAGTGAGATGAAGTCATGAGAAGGTCTAGTCTGATTAGATCAATATCCTTTTAAGAAAAGGCACCTGAGAGTTAACTTGAGTGTTCTCTCTCTCTCTCTTTCCCTCCCTCCCTCTCTCTCTCCCTCTCGCTTTCTTTCTTTCTTTCTGTCCATGTGTACATAAAGAAGTAATGTGAGTGCACAGTGAGATGGCAGCCACCCACAAGCCAAGAAAAGAGACCTCAGAATAAAACTTACCTTGCTAGAATCTTGATCCTGGACTTTTCAGCCTCGATAACTGTGAGAAATAAGTTTCTGTTGTTTAAGCCCACCTCCCAAAAGAGGGTGGGAAATCTAACCACGGTATTTGAGAGGCAGGATATTTAGGAGATAATTAGATTTAGATGAGGTCAGCTTCCTCACCATGTCATGCTTTATGCAGCAAAAAGCCTCTGCAGAGAGTCCTCACCAGCATTAAGGCCCTTACAGGTGCAGCCTCTTCACCTTGAACTTGCCCCGCCTCCAGAACTGTAAGAAATAAGCCTATTTTCTTTATAAAGTACCCAGTCTCAAGTAATAATTATAGCAACAGAAAACAAATCAAGACAATACCCAATCATAGAATTACTCCCACTTTCTGGCAGCGTCACTCCAGAGTTAGGTCCTACTTACTTGAACCTTCCCCCAAATCACCTAACACAAGCCCAAGTTTATAATACGTCCTTCCCAACACCCTCTTATGAAGGCATCTCATTGTTTCCATGTTGTATGCTTTAGCTCATGACAAGAATAAACTCAACTTGGTACCCTACAAGTATGTGACTGATGGGCTTTGGCTGGAGGGCAGTGATAGAAATGAGGTACAAGGACAGCAGTTTGGGAATCCCAGCTCAGAGGCTTGGCTGACTGTGCCTAATACCGTGCTTGGCACATGGTAAGAACTCAGCAAATGTTTCTTGAATCAATGAAAAGAATCAGGCAGCTCCTGTTGAAACTAATGTGCATGCACCTTGGAGCTTTCTTGCCATTGGCCATCTCACCATGAGGCTGTTAATTTTGCAAAAATATTCAAACATAATTAAGAGTCCAATAGTATTAAATTAATAAGGATGTGTGCTTAGGCTATACAAATAAAAGAGAAAGCCAAGATACCTTTTTAAAATGCCATACAAAATTCAAAATTCTTTGGTAAAAATTAATAAAATATGTCTAAGTCCAAAATGGAGACAACTGTGCCTCTTCGTTAAGGAATCTACCAGAAAACTAAAGACAATAAAGAGAAGTTTCATTTCTGGATATAATGACTCAATATGGTAAAAAGGTGGGTCCCTCACATTAAATTATTCTATAAATAATTACTTAATGGTTATTTTTGAAATAGACAAAATCATGTTTAGGTTTACCTGGATGAATAAACGTGTGAGCAGAGCAAAGAAAATTTCAATCATATCAAGTATCTTCTCAGACCACAGTGGAATAAAACCAGAAATCAATTCCAAAAGGAACCCTCAAAACTATACAAATACATGAAAATTAAGCAATCTACCTCTGAATGATTTTGGGGTTAACCATCAAATCAAGATGGAAATTTAAATTTTTTTTCAAAATGAATGATAACTGTGACACAAGTTATCAAAATCTCTGGGATACAGCAAAAGCATTGCTAAGAGGAAAGTTTACAGCACTAAATGCCTACATTAAAAGTCTGAAAGATCAGAAGTTGACAACCTAACATCACATTTCAAGGAATGAAACAAGAACAAACCAAACCCAAAGCTAGCAGAAGAAAAGAAATAACAAAGATCAGAGCAGAACTAAATCAAATTGAAACAAAAAAATTATAAAAGATCAATGAAACAACAAGGAGGTTATTTGAAAAGATAAATAAAATTGATAGACCACTAGCTAGATTAACCAAGAAAAGAAAGAAGATTCAGATAAGTTCAATTGGAAATGAAAATGGAGACATCACAACTGACACCACAGAAATGCAAAAGATCATTTGAGACTACTATGAACACCACTCTGGACACAAACTAGAAAATCTAGAGGAAATAAATAAGTTCCTGGAAACATACAACCCCATAGCTTAAATCAGGAATAAATAGAAATCCTGATGAGACTAATAACAAGCAGTGATATTGAATCAGCAATAAAAAAAAAATGCCAACAAAACAAAGCCCAGGGCCAGTTGGATTCACACCTAAATTCTACCAGACATTCAAAAAAGAATTGGTACCAATCCTTCTGAAATTATTCCAAAAGACAGAGAAGGAGGGAATCCTGCCTAACTTATTCTATGAAGCCAGTATCCTCATACCAAAGCCAGGAGAGGACATAACAAAATAGGAAAACTACAGACCAATATTCCTGATGAATACAGATGCAAAAATTCTCAACACAATACTAGCAAACCAAATCCAATAGCAAATCGAATCCAATAGCACATCAAAAAAATAATTCACCATGATAATTCTAAAGATGCAGGGATGGCTCCACATACGCAAGTCAAAAAATGT
The DNA here is from genome assembly GCF_000001405.40 of Homo sapiens. Taxonomy (NCBI): domain Eukaryota; kingdom Metazoa; phylum Chordata; class Mammalia; order Primates; family Hominidae; genus Homo; species Homo sapiens. Next base: position 404,076 of record NW_025791814.1, read on the forward strand.
GATTCATCACATAAACATAATTAAAAACAAAAACCATATGATCATCTCAATAGAGGCAGAAAAAACATTTGATAAAATCTAATATCCCTTTATGATAAAAACTCTCAACACACTAGGCACAGAAGGAACATACCTCAAAATAAGAAAAGCCATATATAACAAACCCAGAGCCCACATCATACTGAATTGAATGGGGAAAAGCTGAAAGCATTCAACTGAAGCAAGACAACGATGCCCACTTTCCCCACTTCCATTCATCATAATACTGGCAGTCCTAGCCAGAGAAATCAGGAAAGAGAAAGAAATCAAGGGCCTCCAAATAGGAAAAAAGGAAGTAAAACTACCTCTGTTAGAAAACCCTAAAGACTCCTCCAAAAGACTCATACATCTGATAAATGAATTCAGTAAAGTCTTAGGTTACAATATCAATATACACAAATCAGTAGCACTGCTATATACCAACAATGACCAAGCTGAGAATCAAACACGATCTCAGGCTGGGCATGGTGGCTCACGCCTGACTTTGGGAGGCCAAGGCAGGCAGATCAACTGAGGTCAGGAGTTTGAGACCAGCTTGGCCAACATGGTGAAACCCCATTTATACTGAAAAAAAATATAAAAATTAGCCAGGTGTAGTGACAGGCATCTATAATCCCAGCTACTCGGGAAGCTGAGGCAGGAGAACCGCCTGAACCAGGTGGCAGAGGTTGCAGTGAGCCGAAATCGTACCACTTCATTCACTCCAGTGTGGGGGACAGAGCAAAATTCCGTCTCAAAAAAAAAAGAAAAAAAAAAGAACTCAACCCCTTTAATAGCTACAAAGAAAATAAAACACTTTATTTTTAAAACACTTAATAAATATACTCTACCAAGGAGGTGAAAAGATCTCTAAAGGAGAACTACAAAACACTGCTGAAAGAAATCATAGATGACAAACAAATGGAAAAACATCCCATGTTCATAGATTGAAAGAATCGGTATTGTGGAAATGACCATACTGCTCAGTAATCTACAGATTCAATGCAATTCCTATCAAAATACCAACATCGTTTTTCACAAAATAAAAAAAAAAACATAAAATTCATAGGGAACCAAAAAAGAGCTAGAATAGCCAAAGAAATCCGAAGCAAAAAGATTTATTCTTAGAATCACATTACCCAACTTCAAATGATACTACAAGGCTATAGTAATTAAAACACCATTGTAATGATATAAAAGTAGATGCATAGACAAATGGAACATGATGGAGAACTCAGAAATAAAGCCAAATACTTACAACTGACTGATCTTTGACAAAGCATATAAAAACATAATGGATTAGACACACAATTTAAGGAGAATACAACTTATTCAATAAACGGTGCTGGGAAAATCAAATAGCCACATATATAAGAGCGAAACTGGATTCCTATCTCTCACCAGATACAAAAATTAACTCAAGGTGGATTAAAGACTTAAATATAAAACCTGAAACCATAAAAATTCTAGAAGAATCCCTAGGAAAAACTCTTTTGGACATTGGCCTGGGCAAAGAATTATGTCTAGGACCCCAAAAGCAAACGCAACAAAAGCAAAAGTAAATACATGGGACCTAATGAAAAAGCTTCTGCACAGCAAAATAAATAATCATCAAAGTAAACAGACAACCTACAGAATGGAAGTAAATATTTGAAAATTATGCATCCGACAAAGTACTAATATCCGCAATCTACAAACTCAAAGAAATCAGCAAGAAAAAACAGATAATCCCATTAAAAAGTGGGCAAAGGACCTGAATGGATATTTCTCAAAAGAAGATATACAAATGGCCAAAAACGTGTGAAAAAACTGCTCAACATCACTAACTATTAGGGAAATGCCAATTAAAACCACAATGAGATACGACCTTCCCCTAGCCAGAATGGCCATTATTAAAAAGTTAACAAACAATAGATGTTGGCATGGATGTATTGAAAAAGGAACACTTACACACTGCTGGTGGGAATGTAAATTAGCACAATCTCTACAGAAAACAGTATGGAGGTTTCTCAAATAACTAAAAGTAGATCTACCATTTAATCCAGCAATCGCACTACTGGGTATCTATCCAAAGGAAAAGAAGTCACTATATCAAAAGACACCTGCATGTCTATGTTTATCACAGCACAATTCACAATTGCAAAGATATGGAATCAACCTAAGTGTCCATTAACTGATGAATGGACAAAGATGTTTTATATATATATATATATATATATATATATATATATAATCTTGAAATTTTATATATATAAAGATGTTATATATAGATTAATCTTGTATATCTTGTGTGTATATATATATGTTAGATATATATCATCTTGAAATTTTCACATGCATATATATATATATATATATATACACACACACACACCCCCACACACATCGTGAAGTACTACTAAGCCATAAAAATAATGAAATAATGTCTTTTGCAGCAACTTAGATGGAACTAGAGGCCATTATTCTAAGTGAAGTAATTCAGGAATTGAAAAAGCAAATAATGCATGTTCTCATTTATAAGTAGGAGCTAAGCTTTGGGCACACAAAGGCATACAGAGTGCTATAACGGACTCGGGAGACTCAGAAGTGGGGAGGGTGGGAGGGAGGTGAGGGATAGAAAACTATATATTGAGTACAATGTACACTACTCAGATGATAGGTGCATTAAAATCCTAGACTTTATCACTAAACAATTCATCTATGTCATCAAAGTCACTTGTACCCCTAAAGCTATTGAAATAGAAAAAATTAAAAAATGAAAAAACAAGTAACAGGTCATCTGGACACCTCCTGAAGGACCTGCCTGAGCTGTTTTACAGTTAACTTTTTTTTTTTTTATAAGTAGAAGGAGTAGTCTAAAGTAATTATGAACAATTAGTAAATACATAAACCATGAATAGTCATTTATTATTATCACAAGTATTACATAGTGTACATAATGTGTGCTCTGCTTTCGTACACTGGCAGGGCAGTAGGTTTGTTATGTAAGCATCACCACAAACAAGTGAGTCATGCATTAAGTTACAATGTTAGGATGTTGTCCATTATCACATATATTAGATGTATGTTAACCATTATAGCTCCATCTTAAGGGCTACTGTCATAGATGTGGTCCATCACTGACCAAAATGTTGTTATGCAGCACATAACTATATAACATAAAATCTGGATTATGGGCCGGGTGTGGTGGCTTACACCTGTAATCCCAACATTTTGGGAGGCTGAGGCAGGCAGATCACTTGAGGTCAGGAGTTTGAGACCAGCCTGGCCAACATGCTGAAACCCCATCTCTACTAAAATATAAAACTTAGACGGGCATGGTGGCAGGTGCCTGTAAGTCCAGCTACTTGGGAGGCTGAGGCAGGAGAATCACTTGAACCCAGGAGGTGGAGGTTGTAGTGAGCTGAGATCGTGCCATTGCACTCTAGCCTGGGAAACAAGAGAGAAACTCCACCTCAAAAAAAGAAAGAAAAATCTGGATTGTGTGGGTCTATGTATACTGTATGTGTATATATACAAACATAGGCATGCGTATATACACAAGTATATACAAATACACACACATATATACATTCCAGCAAACAGGGTCCCTGCTGCTCCACAGATGTAACCAATTTCTCCCTTCAGCCTTTGCCCTTGCTAATTCATTTGCCTGGAATGCTTTCTCCAAGACGTATGCACACCTTGCTTTCTTACATCACTGTATCCTCTGCCAGGCATTATGTTATATACCCATCTCCATGTCTTTCTCAAGGGAATTTGTGCTGCATGACGGTGAACTAATACTTGGTCTTATTCAGAGCACGCAGGATGTAGAACAATTCTTGACACTAGGGAGCATTCAGTGAACCCTGCTGATGGGCAAATGGGTGGGTCTGGTCAGGGGCAGCCAGAAGACAGGAGGAGATTCCAAGGGAACTAAGCAGTGACCCCACAGTCAAGGACCATATGGCACTCAGACTTCTCAGCAGATGCCAGTGTGGAAGGTAATGGCTGATTGAGGGTTCAGAACATCAGTGCCACTGGCCACAGGGGAAGGCCATGGAACAGAAGGACCTTAAATCAACTGAAAAACATTGAAATAGGCGCAATTACCCCAAAGTTAAAAAAAATAATAACATTTTAGTTGCTTGGTAGAAGGGTGCCTCAAAACAGAAGGATGAAGAGGAGGAGGAGGAGAACAGTGGAGTGGAAACATAAGATTTTTACTGGCCCCAGTAATTTTTCGAAAGGCTGTGGTGGCTCATGCCTGTAATTCCAGCACTTTGGGAGGCCAAGGCAGGCAGATCAACTGAGGTCAGGAGTTTGAGACCAGCTTGGCCAACATGGTGAAACCCCATCTATACTGAAAAAATATAAAAATAAGCCAGGTGTAGTGATGGGCATCTATAATAATCCCAGCTACTCGGGAAGCTGAGGCAGGAGAACCTCCCTCACCAGGTACTGAGCTCCCTGCTGTAAGCCACCATATGTGCCCAGGTCCGAGTGCTGCCATCCACCTTCAGCTATCCTCCCACGGAGCTGTTCTGCCCCAGCCCAAAGCATGCACTGCAAATCCCTATAGCTTCTCAATCCAGATCTAACTCCTCATTCCCCCAGAGCCATTTATTTCAGCAGGATTACCGAGGGGAACACTGTGGCTGAATCGCACTCCATGAATTGGAGATGCTGCTCTCTCCTTAGCTAATTAGTTTGGATGCCTCCAGCTGCAAATGCAAAAACCCTGACCCACATTGGCCTAGACAGCAAAGGCAATAAAGTCCCAGGTGATCTCATGTACTGCCAGACATCATGGGGTCAAGAATTAAATGGGATAAACCTCTTTTGCAGAGTCCCGTATTAAGAATACGGAAATCTTCTCCAGAAACTCCTCAAAAGAATTGTTTTTACGTTTCATTGTGCAAATTCTGGTTGTCTGCCCATCCTTCAATCAAAGGGAGCTGCTGCGTTTGATGGGTCCCGGCCAGGGCTCACACCCAGTGGCTTTGATGGATTCGGACTCTTCTGCTTAGGCAGGGGATCTGGCCTGTGGTGGGCTTCCCTCCAACACAAGACCGCAAAAGAGTTCTGTTGTCACTGAGTGTATGGTGTCCCGGGGCTGCTGTAACAAAGTTCCACAAACTGGGGTGCTTAAACAACAGCAATTTATTCTCACATCTTTCTGGGGGCCATAAGTCCAAAATGAAAGTTCTGGCAGGGCTGGAGTCCCTCTGAAGTTTCTACAGGAGACCCCTTCCTTGCCTTGCCCAGTGTCTCTTGGCCTGTGGCAGCATAACTCCAATCTCTGTCTTTGCCCAGCTATGTTTTCCATCTGTGTCTGCACCCAGATTGTCCCCTTTTAATAAGGACACCAGTCATATTGGATTAGGGATCCGGCGGCCTACTTCAGTAGAGCCTCATCTTCACTAATTATACCTGCAATGTGCAAGTACGCTATTTCCAAATATGGTCATATAAGGTACTGGAGGTTACAAATTCAACATACAAATCTAGGGGGTGGACGGGAAATAATTCAATTTTTAGCACAGAGAAAGGAGGGAAATTGAAACTGGAGCAGGGATCAAATTGCATCTGCTATATGGACCCTCCTGTTTTACAAATTCCTTTTTTACCCCAGAGAATCTTTAGCTGGTGGAACTTCAGGCTGACTTAGGAAGGGAAATGCATATGTTTGGGTGGAGCTCAGGATGCCCTACCAAGGGCGTGGCAGCTGCTGAGGGGTTTCCTTCACTAAGCAATGTCCCCTCCAGCACACTTACGTTCCCTGGATTCTTCCCATTCTCTGCTTCTGCCTCCAGAAATTTATGCTTAAACAATTCTGGGGACCAGAAGTGCAAAATCAAAGTGCTGGCACAGCTGCAGTCCCTCTGAAGCTTCTGCGGGAGACTCCTTCCTTGGAAAAACTCCCAGCAAAGTTGCAGACGTATCTGGCAACTGGACTTGAGAGTGAAGCAGGAGGGATCTGAGTGTTGCATATGTGCAGGATAAATTGTTGGGGGAGGACTGCTGGGGGTGCTGGTGACTGAATTTAGGAAAGTGCATAAGCTGGGTGTTCACAAACCTGGGACACCTCATATTCTATTTCAGGCACTAATTTGTCATGTTTGGGAAGGACTTAAACTATAATTCAGAAATGATGATTGATATGGTTTGGATCTGTGTTCCTACCCAAATCTCATGCTCAATTTTAATTCCAGTGTTGGAAGAGGGGCTTGGTGGGAGGTGATTGGCTCAGCAGACTGAGTGATCATAAAGAGCCTGGGAAACATGTGGGGTTAATTCAAGGTGGCCAAAGCTTCACCATGGGGGGCAGCTTGGGGGCCGCTTGGGGGCAGCTTGGGGCTGGGCTACTTCCTCCTCCAAGAAGTATCACAGAGCAATGCTACCGGGACTGGAGATTTCCATTTAGCTAATTAGGGGTTAGGATAAAGATTTGTGGGTACTGGTGGCAGTGGGTGAGGGCAGAAAGTAAAGGAGGTTGACTATGGATTATCCAGGCATAGATACACATGTTTTCAACAGAAAAGGAGATGGGTTATTATATGTCAGGCCCAACATATCTGCCCTGGCAATGGCAGGGCTTGAGAGTGGCCTGAGGTCAAATCATAACATGGAGATCTGTCCAGAAATAGCCAAGACCCTGCAGACGGTCAGGTCAGAGCTGAGTGAGTTGGTGCATGCACATGTGTGCACTTGCATTCTGACAGTACAGAAATCTGATGGGCACAGCGACCCACAGACCTTCCTGGATTCAGCATGGAGGAGGGAGACCACATTACATAGGCTGGACTAGAGCCCACGGGCTAACTTTGGGAGCTTGGGGGTTCACTAGATTCCAAGAGTAACTGACTCTCCAGGGAAGCGCCTGTTCCTGTTTGATAAGCGGTGCTCTTTTGTCCTGCATGCAGGGATCAGAAAGGACCTATGCAGAGCAGCTCACAAAAGCAGAGCGGCTTGTTCACTGTGGGCCACAGGTTCACGCTGAAACCAGTGTTCCCGGAAACACGAGGCTTCAGATCAGCCAGTGGCAGAAAGTTGGGAGCGGGGAGGATGTAATTTGGGCATCTGAGACAAACCTTAGGGATGGCTATCCATTTAAGAGATTCAGTGGGTTTTGGAGCTGTGAAAGGAAATTAAATTTTGGGACCCCAAATTCGTTTAGCCAAAGAGAAAAGTCAAGCTGGGAACTGGGTCACGCAAATCTGCCTCCACCTTTTGGTTCCTAAACAAGATGGCTACAAGATGAAAAGCTACACGCTTCCCTCATATTTTGCCCACAAGGAAATTCCTGGTGAGCTGTTAAAGCTTCCCCATGGCAATGCAACTTGATAGCCTATCTTTACAGGTGCAGTCGCTCTGCCCACCAGACACAAATGTATAACTGAACGTTCCCCTCTCCATTTTGTCTGTGGTATGTAAAATGCACATTCCCCACAGTTTTCCTCTGCCCCTTTTGTTTATGTGAAAGCTGTGTGCTTCTCAATATCTCATCCTTTCCCCTTTAAATTTGGAGCCCTCAAAATCACCTTCGGAGAAAGGAATAGACCTGTCTCCTGGGAGCATCCTCAACTTTGGCAAATAAATATCCTAAAATGATTGAGACTTGTCTCATTATTTTCCTCGATTGACAGAGCTATTTTTTTTTTTTTTAACATAAAGTCATTCCCTGGGCCTCAAACAGTTCCTGGTTGGGGGAAGGGGCACATAAGTGGCATAGCTTCTGTAGCCCCCGATCGGCCTGGAGCATAGGGCAGGATGTCATCACCAGAGGCCAAATTTGATTGCAAGCAGAGCCTACTCCCTCTGCCTTTTCTGCCAAGCCTCCTAATCGTTATCTCACATGATAATTATTTTGGGTAAAACATAAACCAGAATTGTGATGACAGTGTAGACTCACAGACAGGAACCCCAACAGAGCTGGAAAGATTTGCATGCAGTAACCTTCCATCCCATTGATTGCTTTCCATGACAATTCCATACATGCTTGCTGGCTTTCTTCTTTGCCTGTGGCTTCCTTATGCTTGATTCAATAACAACAACAAAAAGATGTGTGTGTATGTGGTGGGTGTTTATTGTTAAAATGCTTTATTTTTGGAGTGATGTTTCTTGAAAGCAGTAAGAAAATTTCCCATATAGGAGAAACCCTCTGTGCAGGGTTCGCAGGATCTCACAGTGAGCCCCCAGAAGCAGGTCCTATCCGGAGAGTTTGGGTCTTTAAATTATGTTTACAGCCAGCACCAGGCCATCCTGGGAGTCCAGACTTGCTGCAGGAGCAGCTGTCTTAATTTCCTGACATCATCCAATTAGACAGCAAGGTCTCCCCTATTGAATTTAGAAATATTTGCAGCCCATTTTTTAAAATGACTTACAGAAAGGGGAGAGTACTTAATGTGTTTATTTAGACCAGTAAACTCTCCTTTATATCTATTTTTTTTTTCAGTTTGAGATCCTAAAACACTTTACTGATTGTTCTTAAACAACTAGGGTTAGGCAAAAGACATTGGCCATTAGAGTTGCTAAAGACACCACTCCAGGGCTGAGCTTTGGACGAGTATTAGACAAGGATGAAAATACCTCCCCATGGGCCATGGAGGTCCTCTTTCTTCTTCCCTTTTCCTAGCCTCTGGCCTTTTAATTTTTTTTCAGAATAACTTTCTGGAAATGCTCCTATGCACTGTGCCATCAATATACATTTTCTCTTTCTTTCCAACCAAAGAATCATTTACTCTATGTATGTATTGGAATACTTATTTAGAGTATCTTATGTCTTACAATGTGTTTTCACATGTGTTACCCTGTTTAATTTTCATGATAACTCTATGAAGATGGCATAGTTCTTCCTATTTTCTAGGCCTAGAGAGATAAACTAATACAAACAGTCATGAAGAGGTGCATTTAACTTATTTAAATCCACCTGTCCATGACTAGCTTGTATTAGTTTAAGAATCTAAAATTTGGCCAACTCTATCATCTCTCTTTGAAGTGTGTTCACTTTAAATGTTCTCCTCTCCCATCTCCTCCATGTACTGTAGAACATTCGAACAGAGAGTTACTCTTGCCTGGAGTCTTTCAGTTTCTTGTATCTGGCTTCTCTGTCTCCTGTCCCTGGAATACCCTATCTAGCCTCAACAGTCCTGCCTTTTGAAGGCCCTTGTGTCTTTAAGACCGAACTCAGATGCTGCAGCTTTTCGTTCCGTAGTTTCTTAGTCAACTGGGGCTGCTGTAACAAAGTGCCATACATTGGTGGCTTATCAACAACGGAAATGTATTCCTCACAGTTCTAAGGCTGGAAGTCTGAGATGGGGCTGCCAGCAGGGGCAGGTTCTAGCATCCTCCTCCAGGTTGCCACCTTCTTGTATATCCTCGCATGGTGGAAACAGAGAACAGGAGAGCTCTCTGGGGTCCCTTCGATAAGGACACTAATTCCATCCCTGAGGGCTCCCCCTTTGTGACCCAATCACTTTTCAAAGGCCTCAGATTCTAGTATCATCACACTGGCGGTAAGATTTCAACATATGGACTTTGAAGGGACACAGACATTCAGTTCATTCCACACGGTCACTGATTCTACAAACAGAAGCAAATCATACCCTCTTCCATGAACCCTGGTGTTCTGGGCTCTGTTCCACCAGTTGTGTATTCTGCCAGACAGGAATTGGACATATATCCACTCAATTATCCCCAGAGAGCAAAAGCTCCTAGAGGGCAGGGGCCACCTCATCTCCTTAGTCCTCCCTGATGCTGCACAACTGCCACTGAGTACCGAGATCTGGAGAGAGGACATATGGGGGCATCGTCCATTCTTGAAGCCTATTTTCCATGAAGCTTTCCTTAATTCCCCCAAGCTGACATTTCCATCCTCCTCTGAATGTCACAGACATGATCCATGTGACTCTTCACCCTGCATTGTAATCAGTGGCTTCTATCTTCTTCCTGGTTATCTCCCCTTCCAAAACATGAGGCTTGTCACTCATGAGGGTAAGGCCCATGGTTGATTGTACTTGTATCCTTCATAGGGTCTTATATATATTGGGTCCTAGATATGTGTTTATGGACTAAAAAATTGTCTTATGCATTTAAAGTCTATTAAAATAACTGCAAAATACACCCCTTTCCTTGGGGAAAGATGGACCGACTCTGGTCAACATTGCTCCTCAGATTTTAGGTTTCCTTTATAACTTTTAAAAATTACCATTTCAGCTCTGGATTTAAACAGTACCACAATTCGTTATCAAATTCTTGCACATCATTTCCTCCAGAGCATACGATTTAAAAGTCAAAAACTAGGTATTGAGTATGTGCAAAATATATTCCAAAACAACCCCATTTCATAATTATAATCCATTTCACAATATAAAACTTTAATAAATAAACACTTGGATTTTTTTTGTTCTGTTGGAAATAGTGGACTAACTAAAATAAATTCTTCGTGAGTTAGGATGGATACTTGTCTGTTTAGCTAGCCTTTCAATATCATACACACACAAATACACACACCCCTGAATGCCACTTTTAAATCTCATTCTTCTAATAAATCATATAGTAGAGACTTTTCCAAACTATCCATAGCAGAATTAAAGTTAAAAAAAAGAGGAAATCCAAGGGCCAGGCATAGTGGCTTATGCCTGTAATCCCAGTGCTTTGGGAGGCCAAGAGGGGAGGATCACTTGAGGGAAGGAGCTTGAGACCAGCCTGGGTAACAAAGTGAGACCCTCATCTTTATAAAAAATTAAAAAAAAAAAAAGCTGGGCTCAGTGGCATACACTGGTAGTCTTAGCTACTAAGAAAGCTGAGGTGGGAGAATCCCTTGAGCTCAGGAGTTCGAGGGTGTAGTGAGCTTTGATGGCACCACTGCACTCTAGCCTGGGCAACAGAGTGAGCCTCTGCCTCAAAAAAAAAGTGGGAGGGGAGTCTGAATAAAGCCTTGTAATCAAGAAGAAATCACAGTTCATTCGATGGAAAATTCCATAAATGGGCATAAGCCATTCACTGTAAACTAGATGCACCATCATTTTGTTAATAAGCACAACTCAGTAAAACTGGTTCACTTTATATCCTTTCCTTGGTTGCCAGTTACCAATGTATGAGAATAATTTCATTATAACGCACCTTTTTCTATATATTGGGCCAGCAGCGCCAGCATTAAGCCTAGTCTTACACATTTCTGTCTTGTAGTTGTTCGCTAGTCACTTGATTTTAAAATGATCCTTAAAAGGAAATCCATGGACAAGACAGCTTGCAAATAACAAAATGCATGACAAAAGGCTTTGTAAAGAGCACATCTGAGACCATGTATTGAGTTTTTCCACGGGAAAATCAACAGGGTAGCAATGTGGGTGTTAAAGGCAGAGACCTACTCATCTGCTAGGTTGCCCAGAGCCCATACCAATGGCTGTGAGAACCAAAGGAAGAGAAGAATGTGGCTCATGCTCCACACACAAGGGGCCCTGGGCACACTGTCAACAATTAGCTGGATGTTTACCATCCTCTTCAATCATGTTTCCAGAACAACAAAACTTTAAACCCAGCTATATCACACCAACGGGTCTTCTTTTGTGTTGCTTTTAAACAGGTATGTATGGAGACAATTGAAAAAGGAAGCCCCCAGAGACCTATGTATTTAAACTAGGTAAAACGAAGCATTTCTTCTCTCTTACTTTTAACCGTGAGGTACATGGACTTGCTGACGTCTGCGCCCACATCGTTGCTGACCTTGCAGAGGTAGTAGCCACTGTCTTCCTCCACGACATGCTTGATCAGCAACGACCCATTGCTGAGAACTTGGATTCGGCCATTTAGGGCAATTGGCTGGAACTGGGGAACCCCAGCACCTGAGACAGAAAAAGAAAGACGAGCAATGATGCAAACGAGAGTAAGTATGGGAAGACAACGAGTTCAAGTACACACAGACTCATAAAGAGATGCTTCACACTGATCCCATAAGGCAGTCACGGGATACACCAGGTTTTTCTTTCTTTCCTCCAGTATTAAAATTCTTGTTTAGAGAGAAAAGCATTTATTTAAAATGACAGTATCTCAGACTCTGAGATAAAAACTAACAGAACTTACAGATAGTTTCTCTACATAAAAAGCCAAATTTGATGAGTGTTAAGTAGCTGATAAATTATTCAAAGAAATCACAGTAGAACAACCACAGAAGCAGACAACTCTCATGGTGCTAAATAAATTCCTTGTGTTCCCAGGGACTTAATATGAATGTAAACAAGGAGTGCTCCAGGGACATGGCATTTGAAGTCTTTGCTCACTGCACATGTCTGAGGCTACAAAGAGAATAGGAATATTGCAGGTTTCTCTTTAACGGTGGTTATATTCCGGTCTAGACACACAATACACCATTAATATCATTTAATGTTATTTAAATAAATACATCAGATTAGTGCAGTAAGACAGCACAGAATTAAAACACCTCTCTCCTCAGAGTGCTTCCATGCAAGGAGGGAATGGCACAGATATGATATGCTATTATAATGAATGTGGTATGATTCATATGAAGGATTTATATACAACTGGGTAAAAAAAAAAAGGATTTTAGAAATAATGAAACAGATTATGAAGGTCCTAGAAGACTTCTGGGAAGATGGTGACTGGATGAACCTGCCATGCTGCCTGCTTCTGGCCTGGAGGAGTTGGGTGGGCTGGGAGAATGGGATTCAGGCCTTGAAAGACTCTCCCAGGGCATTTTTCTTCTCTGGCCTGAGTATCTGGGGACTTGAGGGGAAAGCTCTGGGGTGAGGATCTTCCTGGAGGAAGCTCAACGTTTGGGCCAAAGATGTGTTCTAGAGAGAAGGTGCTAGCTTCCTGGCCCAAGAACCTACACGGGAGCTGAACAAGTCAGACGTCTCCACAGGCCTCAAGCAGGAAACTTCAGACTTTGCATCTGAGGACAGGAGAATGGGAGACACTTCCTCTTGCTGTCTCCATACCCTAATGACAACTTGTGTATTGGTCTCACTCGAGCTCACAATGGCAGAGACTGTGGCTGTGCCTTCCTTTCCCGTGTTTCTGGTTTAGATTTCTCAGCAACTTGTCTCTAGCCCCACTGAAGAGACGAGAGAAATTGATAAGGTACCTAAGGGGACCTTTCACATTGAATGAGGAGATCAAGTAGAATCCCCACAACAGGTGGTTCCCATCAAAATGGAACTGCTAGAGGGGACATACGACAACCTGAATTTTTTTTTTTTTTTTTTTGAGATGTAGTCTTGCTCTCTCACCCAGGCTGGAGTGCAGTGGCACGATTTCGGCTCACTGCAACTTCCGCCTCCTGGGTTCAAGTGATTCTCCTGCTAATCCCAGCTACTTGAGAGGCTGAGGCAGAGAACTGCTTGAACCTGGGAGGCAGAGGATGCAATGAGCTGAGATCACGGCGCTGCACTCCAGCCTGGGCGACAGAGTGAGACTTCGTCTCAAAAAAAAAAAAAAAGAAAAATAATAAGAAGAAAATAAAAGTACACGAATGTAGATTGATAAGAATATAACTGTATTTACTGACAGATAACATGATTTTCTACATAGATAATTGAAAAGAGTAAACAAAAAAGTTGCTATAACTATAAAATGAGTTTAGCAAAGTCATGGGATACAACATCAATATACAAAAATCAATGTCAATTTTATTTATGTATAATAGTAACAACCAATTGGGAATAAAAATTAAAAAGAAAATATATTGGCAAAAAACCATAAAATATTTAGAATAAATTTAACAAAATATGTGCAAGACCAGCCCACTGAAAATTGTAAAAGTTGTTGAGAATAACTAAATAAGACCTAAATAATTAGAGAGTTATACCATGTTCATGAATAAAAATGCTTAACATTTTCAGAAAGAGGTTGGTAATCTTTCTGTAAAGGCCAGAGAGTAAATATTTTAAATTTAGCAGGTCATACAGTCTTTGTCACAAATACTCATCTCTGCCACTGAGTCATGAAAGTAGCCATAGAAAATACAGAAACAAAATAGCATGATTGTGTTTCATAACAACTTATTGGCAGGCCATGACAGCTCACACCTGTAATCCCAGCACTCTCGGAGACCAGGGTGGGGGCAAGACTTGAGACCAGGAGTTTGAGACTAGCCAGAGTCACAGAGTGAGCCCTCATTTCTATAAAATTTTAAAAATTAGCTGGACATGTTGGGTCATGCCTGTAGTCTTAGCTACTCCCAATGCTCTGGGAGGCTGAGGTGGGTTTGAGGTTACAGTGAGCTCCACTGTACTCTAGCCTGGGTGACAGTGAGATCTTGTCTCTAAAACAAGTGGAAGAGGAGGAAGAGAAGGAGGAGGAGGAGGAAGAGGAGGAGGAGGAGTCTTCAAAAATACTGAATCTGAGAAGAATTGATCTTTGTCCTAGCATATAGTGATAAATGTTGGTGATCATTATGAGGAAATAAGATAGTCTAAAAAACTTATTTACAAAAACAAAAACAGGATGTGGGCCAAATTTGAATTGTGGCCCATAGTTTTCTGATATCTGTTTTAAAGGTAATTAAGAGAAATGTAAATGTAGGATAATTGTACATTTAGAAGAGGGAACATCTACTAACAAAACTCACATGTTTGCATTAGTTCTTTATTACATATCTAAAATATGAATTTTCATAAAATGATTCTAAGTAGAAAAAGTTTTTAAAATTCTTCTTTTCATAAGGAATTCAAAGTCAGGGATAAAAACATTTAAAAACATAACAGTATTTTATTATCTCTTCAATATGTTTTCCTCACTTGAGCTAATGAGTATTTTATAAAGTGAGACTAAAAGGACAACCATTTTTATCCCTAAATCTGCTCCCTCCTTGGAAATAAGTTATCAAAATGTACAAAATTCAGAATTACACCAGCAACTTGTATAATGTAGATAATTTAAAACTTAATTCATATGAGACTTTTATGTGGCCAAGAAACATATGAAAAAAAGCTCATCATCACTTGTCATTAGAGAAATGCAAATCAAAACCACAATGTGATACCATCTCATGCCAGTCACAATGGTGATCATTAAAAAGTCAGGAAACAACAGATGCTGGAGAGGATGTGGAGAAATAGGAAGGCTTTCACACTGTTAGTGGGAGTGTAAATTAGTTTGACCACTGTGGAAGACAGTGTGGCAATTCCTCAAGGATCTAGAACTAGAAATACCATTTGACCCAGCAATCCCATTACTGGGTATATACCCAAGGGATTATAAATCATTTTACTATGAAGACACATGCACACATATGTTTACTGCAGCACTATTCACAACAGCAAAGACTTGGAACCAATCCAAATGCCCATCAATGATAGACTTGATCAAGAAAATGTGGCACACATGCTTCACGGAATACTATGCAGCCATAAAATAGATGAAACTGGAAAATGGATGAAACTGGAAATCATCATTCTCAGCAAACTAACACAGGAACAGAAAACCAAACACCTCATGTTCTCACTCATAAGTAGGAATTGAACAATGAGAACACATGGACACAGGGAAGGGAACATCACATACTGGGGCCTGTGAGGGGGTGGGGGCAAGGGGAGTAAGAGCATTAGGACAAATACCTAATGCATCCAGGGCTTAAAACCTACATGATAGGTTGATGGGTGCAGCAAACCACCGTGGCACATTTATACCTATGTAACAAACCTACACGTTCTGCACATGTATCCCAGAACTTAAAGTATAATAATTAAAAAAAAAACCTTAATTCATATGAAAGTTCACAGCAGATTTTGGTGCCTTTTTTTTTTTTTTTTTTGAGACAGGGTCTTGCTCTTTTGCCCAGGTTGGAGGGCAGTGACACCATCATAGCTCGCTGTGGCCTCGAACTCCCGGGTTCAAGCAATCCTCCCCCCTCAGCCTCCCAAGTAGCTGGGACTATAATACCGGCAGACACCACCATACCCCGCTAGGCCTTTAAAAATTTTTTGTAAAGATGGGGTCTTGCTTGGTTGCTCAGACTGTCTGAAACTCTTGGCCACAATTGATCCTTCCACCTTAGCCTCCCAAAGTGTTGGGAAAATAGGCACGAGCCATTGTTCTTGGCCTCAAATGCTTGAGAAAAAATAAATACATCAGTATAAGAGTGGTTGATTTTGAAAAATAATTAATGAAAGCTATTTACTAGTTTACTTATTGGGATTTAAAGCATGAGAATTTTGGATTAGGGAATCTGAATTTTTTGTCAAAAATTCAAACAGTAAAAAAGTAAATACCTTCAGAGAGATTACGGACTTTCTAATATCTTCTAAACATAAAATAATGTAGCCTTCGTTTTTATGCAAATGGACTTTATTAATTACTGAGCACCTGTACTGTGACAAATACTGGGTGAGGAGCTATGGCTAAAAAGATCATGACTGCCATCTCTTTTTCTTCTTCCCTCTCTCCCTCCCGCTCAGTCTTAACTCTGGGGAATTCCAGCTACCATGTTGTGAGCTGCTCTGTGGAGAGGCTCCCATGGGAAGGAACTGGGAGTTGGTCTTCAGTCAACAGTCTGAGAAAGTAAAGCTTATCAACCATCACAGGAGTGAGCTTGGGAGAAGACCCTCCCACAGCTAAGCTTTGAAATGACTGCATCCCAGCCAACCCCTTGGCTGCAATGTTGGGAAGATGGTGAACCAGAGGTCTCAGCTAAGCCACACATGCATTCCAGACCTACAGAAATGGAAGCTATTAAATGTATACTATCTTAAGCCACTAAATTGGGGTAATTTGTTACAAAGCAATAGATTCCTAACGTGTAAAATTAGGTAAGTTACATAATATTTCAGCTTCTTAACTTGTAAAATGGAAATAATAATAGAACCTTCATTATGGGATGGTAGAAGCACTGAAGTTCTTGAACTATGTATTGGTATGGCTTATAGTAAGCAAACAACATTGTTGTGCTTTCTAACATTCTCTTTTTAATTATTTAATAATTTTAAGATTATATGGCTGTCTGTCTTTCCCATTCCACAAGAATAGGGACCACGTTGCAATGAATGTCTCCACTCATCAATCAGTGCATCAGTGGAGAGAAATATATATATATAGCGGTAGGCAATCTGTATGCTTAATTCAGGGAGAAGAATTTCGGACCAAAGGTGATGCATATTCAAATCTTAAAATATATTACCATATTTACAATAAACTGCCTTAAAAATGTACAAACGTTATCTCCTTCAGTGCTAGCTGAGGGTTAATTTTTTCCTCATACATGTATGCTATTAAACTTTTAAATCTGCATCAATGCTATACATCACTATTTTAATTTGCACATTTTGGCGGATTTTTTTTGTATTTTTGTTTGTTTCTGTTTATAGATAATTTTGAGCATCATGAATGTATTGGCCATCTGTATTTGTTCTTTAGTAAACAGCCCATTTATCCCTTACCCATTTTTCTACTGAGCTTTTGTCTTTTTCTTCATTTTCCAAAGCACTTTGGGTTATAAGGAAGTGTTTCTATGTAATTATTTTACAAAACTCTTTTTTTGTTCTCGTTGCTTCAATCAGAAGAGGATGTTGAATATTATCAGCTAGTTTTTAACCATATATTGAGATAATCATTTTTTTCTCCTATAAAATTAGACTGCATTTTTAAAGAATTTGGCTTTTATAAATTATCAAATTACTTCTTGTGGATATTGTGTTCATTAGTGTGAGGATAATAGATTTATTGGAAGTTAAAATTAAGGAAAAAGCCTTCAACTTTTATTTAAGTGCTTAAATTTGTAACACACTTTGAAAATCAGTAAAGGCTATTAATGTCGTTCCCAAAGTTGACTGTAAATTGAGAATAGATTTAGTCCAATACACACAACCTGAAAACTCAACCAAATATAGGATTGAAAAAATATAACTATAAGATAGGTAATCTAGGCCGGGCGCGGTGGCTCACGCCTGTAATCCCAGCACTTTGGGAGGCCGAGGCGGGTGGATCACGAGGTCAGGAGGTCGAGACCATCCTAGCTAACACGGTGAAACCCCGTCTCTACTAAAAATACAAAAAAAAAATTAGCCGGGCGTGGTAGCGGGCGCCTGTAGTCCCAGCTACTAGGGAGGCTGAGGCAGGAGAATGGCCTGAACCCGGGAGGCAGAGCTTGCAGTGAGCCAAGACAGCGCCACTGCAGTCCAGCCTGGGCGAAAGAGCGAGACTCTGTCTCAAAAAAAAAAAAAAAAAAAAAAAAAAAAAAGATAGGTAATCTAAAAATTTCAAATTATATAAAACTGTATTTAAGAAACTGAAAATCAAATAACATGCTGGTGTGGTTTGAAAAATTTACATGAATATCCATGTCAACAACACATTGTTTTCCTTTTCTTAAATAATTTTCACCAGAAAAATGCTTGTAATTGTTGAAACATTTATATTAAAGAATCACAACATAAAATTAACTACAATGCTAAGTCGTCTCAATTAAATAGCAGAAAAGGATGATCTGTTTATTCCTATCTAGACTGAAGTAAGTTTCTTTATTACTAAAAGGTCCTAATGAAGATAGAAATAAAGTTTCAAATGCATTTAAGAAAACATTAAATCTTTTCTTCATCAGAAAAATGAACCTAAGTTGAAGGGTTATTGCATCTGAAGATCTAATTGTGGTTACTAAATGGAATAATAGTGAACACACTGCCAACTGATTCATCTACTATGAGGACTACAGTTCCAAGGGCTAGCATTTGTTTAATTGGAGGGAAGTAGACTTCGCCAGGGTTTGACAGAATTATTTATCAGTCATCTACTTTAGATTCATCTTTATTCTAAAGAGTAAAATTTAACCCAAAGCATCAATATGTAAAATCCTGTAATCTTCTTAGCACAAGGTAAGCACTTTAGGTAATTAGCTAGAAGATACAATGTGGTAACCAGCAGTCATTAATTAAAACACTGCCAATTTTCTGTGGCTAGCAGGGGTCAAGTGGGGACAATTTCAATGCTCCGTTACATGAAAATAAAATGTTAAAGCATTATGTAAGGCACATACTGAATTGCTAGTTATATTAATTCTGGGTCACCTTTCTTATTTATTGCAAATATATGCATAGCTGTGTTCACAGGGACTGAGAGTATGGGGACAGTGGAAAAAGAACGGCAGATTGTCACCAAATGAGCCCACTTTGAAGGCAGCAGCAAATAAGAAAATTGTTTCAATTTTTTTCCTTCACTGTTAAGTCTTTGCTGGTCTGTAGAGAGGGCACTTGGATAAGAGTCAAAAGGGTTAGGTTCTCATGCTCTCTGAAACTACCCATGCCTTACAGCAAGTGGCTTATTTTCTCTGCATCCTTAATTTCATCATATATGAATAAGGAGAATAATCCATTTACATATGATGTAGGATTGTTGTGCACATAAAGTGAAGCAAGATTGTATGAATGTGGGTATAAATGCCTGCATGCAAGGAGAGCTTGGTCAATGAGCTCATCCAGAGGGGTCCCCTTGTAGGGTGAAATAAGACTGAAGAGTCGCAGGACCATGGAAAGGAGGTCTCTTTAGCCTCACCAATGGTTTGCACAATGGTCAGGCGGTAAGCTGTTCTTTCTTTTCACCAAGGAATCAAACACAATCCCTTTCATCCTTATGGAGAGAGTGGTGTTTTCCTCAAGAATGCATTTGTTTTTCTTCTTTAGGAAGGGGGGTTTCCTCTCTGAGAATAGTTGGGGGATTGCAGGAAAGCATTGGGTAAAAAGATAGAGGTTGCAATGGAAAGATAAGAGAAAAAGCAAGAATAGCAACAGCAGTTGCACCTAAATAAGGTTTAGTAGCTGAAATACAATGCTTATTCAGTGAAGGAGTGCTGAAGAGTTCTGTTACAAAGAAGAATCCCGAAGTGGACAGAGGTATAGTCCTGAGACACCACTGGCTTGGTTCCAGGCTGGAGAGCTATTTCCAATCCCTGAGAAAGAAGCTTCCACCACTGTGCAGGTAATATTTATGACACTGAAAGTTTGTGTCAGATGCTGTATGTTGATCTTTAGCACTACCACTTTCCCTCTAAACTCTGCCCTAAATTGCAGGGCTTGAAAGCCTGAAAACTACATTCCCTGGCTTTGTTACTAGATTCTGGTTTACATTTTACCAGTGAGAGGCACTTAAAAACAATTTTGTAGGTGCAAGGGTGGAAAAGCCATTATTTTGCTTTAGAAGCAGCAAATTGATGCATGGGTCAACCCCAAACATCAGGTTTATGGCTGCCTGTGGGAGAACTACAAATCACTGCTTGAGCACTAGAAGCAGCTGTTAGCAGTGACGGGAGAAGCATCTTAGTTCCTACACTTCTCAGGTGCTTAAAGGGCCGCGCAGTTTGTCCACGCTTCAAAGGATTTTGCATGCCCCTAATTCCCTTTATTAAATCCCTTCTTGATAACACACCACACCATCCAGGTGTGACACCGTCCAGGTTACTTCTTTTGTAAATGTGCACATAATTGTGTCCACTGTGCAATCCAGTCATCTTTCCTTAATACCTTCATTTCTATGTTGAAGAAGGCTATCCAATGACAACAATGGAAATTTCATGGTCTAGATTAGTGTCTAATCAGGATTTGTTACAACTTGCTAGTCCACTAGCACTTCAATGTCTAATTCTGTAACTAATACGTAATTATGTAACTAATACATAAGAATCCTTTTTTTTTAAATCAGCCAGAGGGAATTGGCCCTTCACTCACTTATCAGATAATTGATCCATGAACTGAACACAATTCAGCACTCGTCAAGGGGTCATGTGATATTGGAAGTGGTTGAGGTGACTCAATTATGCAGATTCCACCAGTGCTTTGCCTTGCTCCTGGGAGGAGCCCTGCAGCAGTGTCTACCATTCAAGGTCTCCAGCCACCGTTTCCCTGGAGCAAGAGCCCCCCAAACATTTGTCTTCAGTGTGACTGCCTACACCTAGAAGAAGGCTTCCAGAAAGTTTCCCAGGAAATAAATGAGGGGGAAAGATGGAGGAGTGCTGAAAAATAAAGAAAGGAAGAGCAAGATGGGCCCCAGGGTTGACTGTCCTGGTGGCTCCACCAAGGCTCAGGGTAATTACACTTCCTTAGGTGAGGACCCTGCAGAGGTCCTGCAGCAGCTCCCAGGGCCACTGAGATGCTGATTAGGGTAGCACAGAGGAAGGCAGGTTTTCTGCTCTGCTAAGGTTTTTCCTACCATCAAAGGAAGAAAATAAAACAATATATGGAACACTCACTTTCTCTGTTCAGCTTACAACTTGTTTTCAAGAACTCATTATTTCTTTGTGAGGCCCCTTGTCTCTTCTTGGGGAACACACAACACACAAGCAGAGCTCCTTTTGTTGTGCATGAGGGATCCATATCGGACTTTGAACTTGGGTTTATTTTTACCATGTGTGCCATAGAGAGATGTTGCCTTCTTCTCGTTTTTGGATTATTTGAATTCTTTCCCCATATTAATTCAATATTTGCATCTTATCACCTAATTGGAAATCGGGGTGCTGGGTGAGAGCCAGGACTTGATAGCCTGGATCAGAGGAGTGCACTGGGGCAGAGCAGGGGATCACTGCTGCTTCAGGAAATGAAGGACATGGAAGAGGTCAAAACCATGGGTGTGGAGTCTTGGGGTGCTCTAAACAACACAGAGCAAGACAAATGGTGAGTCTAGGAATGGGCATGGTGAGAGCACTGAATAGTGTGCAGATGCACAGGCAGGGGTGGGACAGTGGGAGGGCAGCAGCCTCCACCAGGTCAGGCTTGTGGTCAGAAGTTTTATTCTGGTGATCCACACTAAGAGGATTAAGATAGGGCCAGGATTGGAGCCACTGGTCCCAAGGAGATGACCAAGACAAGGGTCAGAGACAATGCAGAGACCCAATTTCTCAGAACAGGGATGCAAAAGAGACACTTGTCTGAGCAAAGCCTGTGGAACTGGCATTCAAGGTCAGAGTGAGTGGCAGCAAGGGCAAAAAAAGAATGAGACGAAATGCCTTGGACACTGAACCTGGGGGCACTCAGGCACGAGGCTGGCGCAGAGTGAAACATGCAAGGGCATACAGAGCAGGACAAAGGGACCAGAACTTGGGGAGAAGCCTTGGAGGACCTGAAAACTCAGTATCATCCCAACTGGGCCCTATGAACGTGCTCCCTATTGAGCTATTTTAATATAAACCCCCTGCTTTCCCAGAGGAAAAACAAAAGAGAATTTTATTTAAGCAAATTTCTGTCTCTTGATAATTTGCTTCTTTCCAGACTTATCTTTTGAATGTACAACCTGCAGTGTGTTCAGCAGTGTGATCCACAGGTGATCCTCAGTGTGATCTGCAGTGTCATCTGCAGTGTGATCCACAGTGTGATCCATGGTGTGATCTGCAGTGTGATCCACAGGTGGATCTGAAGCGTGATCTGCAGTATGATCTGCAGGTATCTGCAGTGTGATCCATGGTGTGATCTGCAGTATGATCTGCAGGTATCTGCAGTGTGATCCAAGGTGTGATCTGCAGTGTGATCCACAGGTGGATCTGAAGCATGATCTGCAGTATGATCCACGTTGTGATCTGCAGTGTGATCCATGGTGTGATCTGCAGTGTGATTGCAGTGTGATCCACAGTGTGATCTGCAGTATGATCTGCAGGTATCTGCGGTGTGATCTGCAGTGTGATCACAGTGTGATCTGCAGTGTGATCTGCAGGTGATCTGCAATGTCATCCACGGTATGATCCACAGTGTGATCTCAAGGTGGTCTGCAGCATGATCTGCAGCATGATCCACAGTGTGATCCACAGTGTGATCTGCAGGGTCTTCTGCAGTGTGATCTGCAGTATGATGTGCAGTGTGATCACAGTGTGATTAACAGGTGATCTGCAGTGTGAGCCCTCTCTTGACTGCTGAGGAAGGGACTGACTTGGTCATCTCACCAGAGAGGTCTGAAACTGGTGTTGGCAGAAAATCTGCTCTAGAATTAACCTGCTTGAGGGACTTAGGCTTGTCCTTTCCCTCATATTTCTCATGGTCTTCTGAGACATAGGCCATGAGGACTACAGAAGGTTCCAGGGATGTCCCCTGGACATTGGGAGGGAAGTTGTGGGCAGGATCAAGGTGAGCCTTTCCAGGGCATGCCCCTAAAGTAGGAGGGGACTCCAGAGAGGGTCACCTGAGCAGTTTGGCCAGTATTGAGCACAGCATGTGTTTTCCCCTCCATCTTGCATGGAAACGTTTAGTTAACTGTCTGGAGTGCCTAGTTTTATTTCTATGAATCTCTCAACAAAAGAATCAAGTTCCTGTTGCCCCCTGTGATGAGTCTATAACCACAGGGGAGGATTTCTCCAGGTGGGCTGACACTGAGCAGAAGAGGGTGCTTTTAGGGCCCTAGTGGTAAGGGACAGCCAGGCCCTCTGGGGGACTGTGCGTGGTGAGTGCAGAAGTGACAGCCTCCAGCAGCTTGTCTGGGTGCAGTAGGAGAAGGAGGAGCTAAAGCAAACCTGTGTGTGCACCAAATAATGGTGGATTCTCTGGAGCCTCCAGGGAAATATGGAATTGGGGAAACTACAATGAGCAGAAAGGACACAGGAAAAGGGGCAGGGAGAAATACAATCTCAAGAGAGACAGGAAGAAATAGAGTCACACACCATTGCAGCCCTTAGTATGAGCTACAGAGTGGGGAAAATAGAAACTCCTCTAAATTAAGAACAGCATTACCCTTGCTGGGAGAAGAAAGAGATGTGGACAGCTACATAAGGACAAGCTCAACAAAGATTGGCTGTAGACAGCTCTTGACCCCTTTCCGCCCAGAAAACCAAGGAGGACAAAAGAAAACCAGATGCCGTAGCTTATAAAAATTCACTACCACTGACAAATGGAAAGAATGCAATAAAATTATTAATGTTCATAAAAGAAAAACTTGGATACATGAAAGGACTATCCATGGTATTGGCTGGGAAGACTCAATATTCTAATGACATCAGCATTCTTCACGTTAAGCTTTAAATTTATGATCCTCCAAATTTTCCAGATTTTTTGGAAACTTGATAAAGTTATCTTAATATGCATCTAGAAGGAACAAACAAACAAAAATCCATGCAGAAAAAGCAAGGACATTTTTGAAAAATAAAAGTCACAAGGGGAGTATTGTCAAAACAGACATTAAAATAGAAGGAGATAAACTTCTAATACGTATGGTGCTGAACAGGCAATTGAGTGTAACAGAGAGAAGGCTGAAACACAGACTCCAGTATTCACATTTTCCCCTTAGACAATAAGGTATCGCAAATGAAAAAGTTTGGGCTCTTCAATAAATGGTTTTAGGACAAATGGCTAACCATGTAAGTTCATGATAATGGCAATAATGATATTAATAATAGCTAATACATACTGACTAATGGCTATGTGCCAGAAGCCATAATAAATGCTTTCTATGAGTCATCTTACTAAATCATCACATTTATCCCCTTATTTTATCTGTTTCAGCTGCAAGGATGCTGTGGTTCATATGGGGTAGGTAATTTACATGCAGTCACCCAACCAGACAGGGTTGTATTATGGCTGGGGTTTGAACTTATAGCCCAGTCTCCTAACTGATGATTTCTACTCCTCCTCCTAGATTCCTACTTTATTTATTTTACTAAAATCAAGTCCAAATTTAATGACCCTTTGTATATAAACAATAGAATTTCATATTTGAAGATGGAGGCATAAACCAGCACTTCTTCTCTTCCTGGGAACAACATGAAAGCAAATGGGAGAGAGAAGCCTAGAAAAATGTAACCTCTATTTCCTATGAAATTAGAAAATAGCTAAACTTCCAGCTACAGAATGGGTAAATGGGCAACCAACAGGGTAATTGAGCAGAAGAGCATGCAGGAAGATGAGGGAATCAGGGCCACCGCTGTGAACTTCAGAAGTCCCAGCAGAGTGGGTCACAGGTGAGAGCCAAGCCTCCATCAGTGAAAACAGTGTGCATAGGTGGGTGTGGGTGGCACTTCCCCAGGCCTGATGTGGCTTAGAATTTTAGAAGTAGGGTTAGCTGAGGAATCAGGCATTTGTACACAACAATCTTTTTCTGGGGACATGGATTTTCTTCAAATGTAAGTACAGTAGTTCCCCCTCATCCACATTTTCACTTTCCATGGTTTAAGCTACCTGAGGTCAATTACAGTCTTAAAATAGGGGAGTATAGACACATAAGATATGTTGAGAGAGACAGAGACAGCACATTCACATAGCTTTTATTACAGTACATTGTAATAATAATTTTATTCTAGTACTCATAATTTTTGTCAATCTCTTACTGTGCCTGATTTATAAATTAAACTTTATCAGGGGTATGCATGTGTAGGAAAGCGCATAGTATATGTAGGGTTTGGTGCTCCCCAAGGTTCAGTCATCCCCTGGGGGTCTTGGGGCTGCTGTATTCGAAAGGAAACCAAGACCTAGCAAAGATACAATAAGCAAAATAGAAGAAAAAAACAGAACAAGAAACCAGGTATTACGACTTAGATGAAGACTGTGAATAAAACAGTCACTTGTCTATAAAGCCATGGCTGAAGAAGGGTGAACTGTGAGCTGGCAGAGCTGGAGAGAAAGAAGGAGAAAAAATATAAACTCACAGCAGTGAAGGCAGAACCGGAGTTGGCACAAAGAAGAACAGACCTTGCTGGGGAAAAGACATGGAGAACAGAAATGGAAAAATATCGAACAAATTAAAATGGAAATCAATGAGTTAAAAAACCAGAGAGAAAATGACAGCTACAGAGACTAGGTGGCAATCCTATGGAACCACAATCAGAGACCCTGAAGAAGAAAATTAAAGCAGGGAAGAGAACACTTAGAGATACAATTCATGGGAAAAATATTTTTTAAAATAACCTGAATCTACATATTAAATAGATGCACCACATCTATGGGAAAATTGACCCCAAATGGAAAACACCAAATTATAGACTAAAAATTTACCAGACTTCAGGGCAGGTGCGGTGGCTCACGTCTGTAATCCCAGCACTTTGGGAGACCGAGTTGGGTGGATCACGAGGTCAGGAGTTCAAGACCAGCCTGGCCAATATGGTGAAACCCCATCTCTACCCAAAATACAAAAATTAGCTGGGCATGGTAGTGCATGGCTATAGTCCCAGCTGCTTGGGAGGCTGAGGCAGAAGAATCTCTTGAACCCGGGAGGTGGAGGTTGCAGCGAGCCAAGATCGTGCCACTGCACTCCAGCCTGGGCAACAGAGCGAGACTCCATCACAAAAATAAAAAAAGAAAATAAACTACCAGACTTCAAAGTCAGCTCTTTGGTGCACAGAACCAAAAAGATTAAGTTCCTTCTACAGGGAAATCAGGCAGTCTGTGCTCCCTCCAAGGAGACAGTGTGAGCCGCCAATATCTGTCCTTTGGGTGTAAAAAGGCAAGGAACAAACCATTGCAAACCAGAAAGAGGTTGGAATATTCTTCACTATGTCCAAATAACTCATACTGAGCACAAAATCAATCTAACACAGAACTGGCAATTGCAAAAGTTGGGCATATGGCTGCAGAACAGAACATAGAGGGTCTAAGCTCTGACAATGCAGAAAATATTCATCAAAATCTAGGATATTTAGAAAATTTATCATTGCTTATATTGGAAATTGACAGCTGTATCTGCATAGAGAGGAGCCCAAAACCCTGATCTTACCCCAGCCACAGGTCTGCCCTCCTGGAGTCGTCCTGTCTGTCACCGGCACTTCCACTATCCTCACTGCCTGGGGTTCTCCCCTTTTGTCACACCCATAGTATGTCCATCACTCAAAGACATTCAGAATCCATTTGTCCCTCCTCCACTGCAGTCACCCTGGTTCCGGCCACATCCCGGCCAAGGCCTTAGAACAGCTCTCCGGCTGAAATTCCTGTCCTTCACACAGTCTGCTTTCAAAACAGCATGCCAGTGTGATCCTTTTAAAGCATGAGGCAGATCACACCATCTCTCTCCAATTACCCAGCTAGCCTCCTAGCTTCTGGCTTCAGCACAGCAGCAGCTGAAGAGACCGCATCACCATCACCACTCTCATTGCTCACCATACCCACTCCCCACTTGGGCAGAGCCAGGTCCTTACAATGACTGATGGGGACCCAGTGCAGGAGTCTCCTCTCCCAGGACTTCCTTTCACTAACTCTGCCACAGCTGTAATGTCCTCCTTGGTGTTTCTGGATCATTCCAGGCATCAACCTCCCGGCCTCGCCCCCTACCCCCAACTCTTGGGAACTAGCTGGCCCCTCACCTTCCGGTCTCCCTCGGAGGACAGGAGCACAGGACTCATCTGTCTTTAAGTCTTTCCTCAGACTTTCCCTACTCCTGGGGTATTTTGACAATGCTATTTTAAATGCAAACTACTCCCCATTGTCCTCCAGCGTCACCCCCCAGGCATGCTCTGACTCTTCTTTTTGGACATTCCCACAACCAAGTTTCCCTGAAGGTCAGAGACTCTATGGACAGCCAGAGAGAGCAAAGGAGGCCCAGGCCAGGCCCCAGGCTGATGCATCATCTATTCTCTCGCATTTGCAGTCCCTCTTCGCTTCTCAGCAGGTAACAAGGAGATGGCCCTGAACTATTTTCCCTCCAGTATAAGTGACATACATGCAAGAGAATGGCATTAAGCTGTGGACTTCTGGGAGTACAGGTGAGACCCACCTCAGAATGAAGCCCTGATTTTTTTTTTTTAAATCTCTTTTAGGCAAGAGGCCTCATTTGTTCATGTAAATAAATAAATCAAAAAAGAGAACTGAATGTCTCAGACTTTGTGTATCTAGACCCAAGGTCAAAAATGTAATGACTTTTTTTTTTTTTTTTTTTTTGTAGCAAAGATTGTTTCATTTCTACAATAGCTACCTTTAAACTGCAGTGATTTACCCTGGAATTCTGCCTCCCCTGAATTAAACTGTTGCATCTCTCAAGGAAACAAGCTGAATCTGTTTTGTTTATACAGTTTTGTCATTTATGAGGGAGCTGCACTTCAGCTCTTAGTGATCATTTCATTGAAAGAAAACATGTTCCATAAGCAAGGCTAAATTGTTCTTAAGAAATAGATTTACTGCTTGCATAATTAAAATAACAATATACCATATTTCTCTATCAGATTGGAAAATGTCAAAAAAAAAAAGCCTAATATCCAGTATTATTTTGGTTATAAGAGACAGACACTACTGCAAACTGAGGTGAGTTGTGTAAATGAATAAAATGCTGGCAAATTGTCAATACATATTGAAAGTTATAAAAATTATTTACTCCTTGAGCCAGCAACTCTACTTATAGAAATTTATCCCCAGGGATAAATGAACACATATACAAAGATAAATGTGACAGAAGTCATTAGAAGTCATTATGATATCTTTCTTTTCCTTTTTTTTTTGAGATGGAGTCTCGCTCTGTTGCACAGGCTGGAGTGCAGTGGCGTGATCTCAGCTCACTGTAAGCTCCGCCTCCCGGGTTCATGCCATTCTTAGCCTCCTGAGTAGCTGGGACTACAGGTGGCCGCCACCACGCGTGGCTAATTTTTTTGCATTTTTAGTAGAGACGGGGTTTCACCGTGTTAGCCAGGATGGTCTTGATCTCCTGACCTCATGATCCGCCTGCCTTGGCCTCCCAAAGTGCTGGGATTACAGGTGTGAGCCACTGCACTTGGCCCATTACGATATTTTTCTAAAAGAAAAACTGGCAAAAACCAAAAATATGACATTCAACAATAGTGTTGGAGATATCCAGTTGCCAGGTATCCAACACCCCCTCTGACTTAGGAAAATAACACACATTATGTCCATGATGGCTTACGGACCCTTTATAGCCAGGGGCGACCCGGCCAGCGATCCAGAGAGATGCTGGCAAAATTGATCTGTGATGCACTTCTGGAAAGGACCTTAAAGGGAGGTGAGTCGTGTGGGAGGGGCAGCCATCTCCCTTTGCTCTTCCTCCTACAGGGAAATGTGAAAGGAAGTTGACACTATAGCTTGGTGGCCATCGTTTGAGGATGAAGAATGCTGCTAGGAGAGGCAGAACTCTTCCTAACACATAAGGAGTTTGGGTGCCTGATGACTTAGCCAAGCCAACAAACTAGTCCTGAGCTGTCGACATCCAGAGTCCTCTTATGAGAAAAATAAACCCTTGTGAATTTAAGTGGCTGAACTCAATCTTAACTAAAGTAATTAGATAAACGTAATTATTGATGTACTACAATAAACATTACACAGACATTAAAAAGTCACGGAGTTCAAGGCCAGCCTGGCCAACATGGTGAAACCTCATCTCTACTAAAAATACAAAAAAATTAGCCAGGCTTGGTGGTGTACACCTGTAATCCCAGCTACTACTTGGGAGGCTGAGGCAGAAGAATTGCTTGAACCCAGGAGGCGGAGGTTGCAGTGAGCTGAGATCGCACCACTGCACTCCAGCCTGGGCGACAGAGCAAGACTCTGTCTCCAGAAAAAAAAAAGTCATATTAAGCACCATATTTGTTGTTATGGCAAGACATACATAGTATATTGTTGACTGAAGAAAGATTATAAGCCAGCAACAATCATCAAACTTTTAAAAATGTATAATGTGTATCTATGGGTATGCAATTGCTTGGGGACAGGACTGACAGTCTAGAGACAAAAAATGTTTGCAGCAGTTATCTTTGATCATCTTTGAGTGATGTTATTGGGGGGAATTTAACTTTTTAAAAAATTGCAATTTCTAATTTTTTTCTTTGATGACTTGATATTGGATATGAAATTTAAAGACAAAAAAGCTACTATTACAACCTAATTTTTAAGTTAGTGGTAAGAAGGGATAAAATGTCAGTAACATCCAAGACAGACAAAGTATTATTTAATCTATGTAGAAACACTTCCAAATAAATAAGACATAGAGATAAGCGTGCAAGTAACATGAATAAGAAATTTCCCAAAGGAGAAGTAGAAGTGGTCTGTTAACATAAGATAAAACATGTTAAACAACATTAACAATCTAAGTATGCAAATTAAAATGAGAGGGCATTTTCAACCATCAGGTTGTAAAGACTATTTAAAAAAAATGTTATCTAGTTGGTGAGGATGCTGGGCCACATTTACCCACCCATACTGTTGGTGGCCTAAGTGCCCTTGGGCAGTACAGAGTAAGAGCCTTGTATATGGCTGGTGCCTTTTCACTTCACTTACACATATGCGCATTGAATTAACATACAGGAGTGTTCATTTGCTGGAGTGTTTATGAGAGTGAAAACTGTAAACACCCTCAGGGAGAGAGAGAACACCTGCATAACGACAGGCATTAAAAATAATGTTGAAGAAGGCAAATGTCATGGAAAATGTCCATAATATCAAATATGCACTTCCATAGAAACTAAATTAAATTTATGATGTTTATCTGTTTCCATGTAATAATGCACAATGGAGCTTCAAATACGGCAGGAAATAAAAAGTCATGGGGGCAGAGACTCTGAATAACAGGATTTTATTTTTGAAGAAGTCCTTTGCACATGGACAGTGGATGTGGTGTGTGGTGTGTGACAGGGGAGTTGCTTCAGGGACTTTTAAAAATTTAGCTATTTTCCCAATCAGACAGTGTCTAGCAACCTTCCCCACTTCTTTACCTTCCTTCTCAAAAGAGAGATGCCAGGAGGGTTGCAACAAATGTACCATTTATTTTTCCTTTGGTCATTGTTGCTTCCATAATGAGAAAATGCAACATGCTATTTTAAAAAAGAAAGATCTAGAGTATAAATGATGATTAAGTCAACACAAATACAAATACCTCACAATAATTAAACCTAGATACTAGGTCTTAGGTTATTGGAAAAAAAAAAAGGTCATGATTGACTGATTATTTGATCTCACCAGTACATATCTGGCCCTCAACTAATATAGTACTGAATTCAAGTGTCTAAATGAGAAAAGAAAGAGAACTTCCAATATGTTTGCAAGTACCGTTAAGGAGGCGTTCTGAAGAAGCCACCCTAATGAACAGAAATTGTTTTTCCAAAGTCTAACATGATTCCACTCTTCGTTTCCATGTCATACATTTCTACTTGCATAATATCTACAATGTCACCTAAAACCCAGGAGCTACTGTTCTGCATTAGAAGAGGAAACATGATTAGGGGTGCAAGCAGGGAACATGAGACAATCGCAATAGGACATTGGGCGTGTTTGTTTTTAAAAAGAGCACGCCAAGGAGATGACGTGTAATCTGTATATTCTAAGGTAATAAGGGGAATAAAACAATCAATGATATTATCTTTAACTTTCTAAACCCACTCATCTCTCTAAATACTGGGGAAATAGTTTTCCAGCTATGAGTAGTTCTGACAATTTAAACTCACATCTCTTCATGTACGAGTGTGCAGTGATCTCTAAGCAGACCATGGTTATGTAATACAGGTGGGCAAGGTAGGACTTCCTAAGTGCTGAAACAATCTACACAAAAGACTTCCATCCCTCTGTGGCCTTTCCAAGGGCATGTTATGTACAACAGACACGTTGT
The DNA here is from genome assembly GCF_000001405.40 of Homo sapiens. NCBI lineage: Eukaryota > Metazoa > Chordata > Mammalia > Primates > Hominidae > Homo > Homo sapiens. The sequence goes on from NW_025791814.1 coordinate 435,525, forward strand.
GTGTCTGAATAAAAACACCTAGGTGGACAACTAGGAATGTCTATGAGAGAATGATAGGCTTGGTGGAAACAGAGATACGTATCTACTTGCAAGAAACTTCTCTGGAAATCTAGAAATGCTTATCTAATCCTTTAGAACATAGCAAATGTTTGACAGGTAACAAGTAGATCAAGTAACTCCATACCTTTAGAGAATTTCCACACGATGGTAGGTACAGGGTAACCCTCAGCAGAACAATTGAGGATGACTGCTTTGCCATAAATCCCGTCCTGGTCCCGTGGCTGAACCACAAACTTGGGAGGAACTGAAAAGAGAGAAATGTCACCAGTAATTAAGACTAGACCAGAAACTGAGTAAAGGTATGATTCTAAGAAACTGAATCATTTTAATGAATATTAAAATATGAAGACTGTTTCATACACATGGGACAATAAAAACACTATTGGCAGTTTGGGACAAATTAAGGGAGTAATTTCAGTGCTGAAAAATTTTCTGATTCATATCAATGAGCTTTTGTCACAGGTAAAAGCCCTTTGAACTAGGGAAAACTGGCCTCGAGGGAGGAAGTTTGACTAAATCAAAGGGATGGAATATTTTGCTTTTAATTGTGTTATCAAAAATATACAGAAATTCCCTCAATGGAAAATTGAATCAGAATCACCATTTAAAGAACAGATCAGGCTGGGCGCGGTGGCTCATGCCTGTAATCCCAACACTTTGGGAGTCCGAGGCAAGCAGATCACCTGAGGCCTGGAGTTTGAGACCAGTCTGACCAACACGGAGAAACCCCATCTCTACTAAAAATACAAAATTAGCTGGGTGTGGTGGCGCATGCCTGTAATCCTAGCTACTCAGGAGGCGGAGGCTGGAGAATTGCTTGGACCCGGGAAGCGGAGGTTGCAGTGAGCTGAGATAATGCCATTGCACTCCAGCCTGGGCAACAAGAGTCAAACTCCATCTCAAAAAAAAAAAAAAAAAAAAAAAAGTAGATCAAATATATATTTGTGCCTCAAATAGTAATTATCAAATATAAGTATTCATCTTGGATGTGAACTGGTCAAAGTATTCGATGTTGATTTTTCCTCTACCAGGAGATAAAGTGAGAAATAACAGGCACCTCGTAAAGGCAATCGAGAATACAATGTGGGACTGAACTTTTCCCAAAATTCTGGTGAGAACACATAGTCCGTTATGCCAGATGTCAGCACCACGGTGGGCCAAAGGGGGACTGTGGAGAGTAGTTGCAGTGAAGTACCATAAAGGTTTTCTAGTGTGCCTATAAAAAACAAGATATTAAGTGACTGCTTATCTGGTGAATGTTGTGAGGTGCTGTAAAGAACCATCCCTACCTAAAACATAAACATGATTTCACTTAAAACATATCTCCCCAAAGAAAGCATATTTTTTGAGATAAGCCATTAGGATTTTAATATGTATCACATCTCTTAGAAAAGGTAGCATCTGAAAGTATTCTAATCCCCGTATCTTTCCCAGCAGATCAGCGATTCATTACAGGGTAGACTTTCAGTGAGGCAGTCATAAACTATGTGAGAAGAGATGAATTATCTACACCATATAGTAGATACTTAGAAATTCCTGGTAAGGCTAATCTCATCAGCCTTGCAAGATACAGAATTCTTAATTTTGAGACATAAATGTGAGCCTATGTGTTACAGGTAGATAGGAACTCAGCTGCCACATATGATAGACTGAGAAGATGGTTAGGGCCTAAGTTAGCAAGGGGCTTAGAAGCTTGTTACAATGATCTGAGCCAACGTGACGATCGCTTTGGCCATAAAATAACAAAGGAGGAAGGGAAAATGTCAAGACACAAGAAGCAGCCAGAGATGGAATTCACCGCAGTGTTTCTGGAGAAAATATTGCTTTTAATTTTCTAGCTTTACTTTCTGTAGAATGATTTACACATGAAGAAGCACCAGAAAATAATGACTACCAGCATAAAGCCAAGTGTTAAACACATTGGCTTGGTGTCCAGCTTTTCTATTTCCTGTTGGGCAATTTTGTGCAAACTGTAAAATGGCTCTTGGTCTCAATTTACTTATCTGAAAATTGGAGATGATTATGGAACTCATTTTAAGGATTGTTAAGATGATCAAATAAATTAAGATTAGAAAAGTTCTCAGAACTGTGGAGATATTAACTGCTGTAAGAGTGTTGATTAATTTAGTAAATGCAGGTATGTTTAGCTTTTACTTTTTTTTTTTTTTTTGAGATGGAGTCTTACTCTGTTGCCTAGGTGGAGTGCAGTGGCATGTTCTCTGCTCACTGCAACTTCCACCTCCCAGGTTCAAGCAATTCTCTGCCTCAGCCTCCTGAGTAGCTGGGATTACAGGTGCCTGCCATCACGCCCAGGTAATTTTTTTGTATTTTTAATAGAGATGGGGTTTTACCATCTTGGCCAGGCTGGTCTTGAACTCCTGATCTCGTGATCCACCAGCCTCAGCCTCCCAAAGTGCTGGGATTACAGGCGTGAGCCACTGCGCACGGCCTGACATATTCTTGATGAGCAAAGTTCCCAACTTGCAAATGAAATAAATAATTTACACAGCCAATGGGTTTCTGAGATATTGCTTAAGTGATAAGCAATGTTACTTCATGTAGATGGTATTCGGAGACAAAATGTATTTAAGAAAATGAAAATATATTTAAAATAAGATAATAAGGAATGACTATCTCTGAGTGAGGAAATTATCTCTAAGAAATATGGTAGAGATTATTTAGAGCTAAGTTTTCTAGTAAAAGTGACCAATCAACTCAAGAGCAGGTGACAAAGTTGAAGACACCATGCCAAAATTATTCTCTGCAGGGTGGAAGGAAAATCTGCAGCCATCCACATTCTGTGCTCCATTTGGCTCAAGTTCTGCCAAGAGCAAGAAATTGCTCATCAATGGACAGGGTAGAAAATCTCTTGCATTCCCTCTGGAAGCATGTCTAATCATAATTGATCCATTACTCCTCCCCTCAATTTGGTTCTAATCCAACGAAATGTTCCTTAAAATCTCATCAAAGAAGTGTATATGAGAAACAACCATAGAAATACGGTAAGTATAAGGTAGTTACAGATAAAAACGGTCCCTAAATTAGTAGAATAATTACCCCGTATCATTGAAAACTGTTTCTGACCCTGGTAGGAGTAGCCAGGGGATTTCCCACGTACACCTCTTTGCTCATAGATTGGAATTCTCTCTTCAGATACCCCAGTGATTTACAGTCACATGAAGACCTAAGAAAGAAGCTTCTGCAGTAAGTGAGCTTCTTAATTTTTATAGCAAAGAGAATAATTAATAGCTCAGATGTTTGGTCTTTGGCTGATATACCATGCAACTTGAGACCACCTTGAGGAAAATGCTATATTTTACTAAGTGCATGAATAAGCCAAATCATATACATTTCCTTTAAATTTTGACAGAAGACTGTCATGAATGTAAATATTCAATCCCTAAGTGATTTATTATCGTGTACCAGTGAATACGTAGGTCCCTTTCATGAAAGTGAACTTGTGAGTTACAATAAGAACTCTAAGACTGGGAACATCCATGTACTTACATCAAGAAGACCTGAGGCCACACCCCTCAGATCTGACACCTTAAGAATATGCTTGGGTTGAGTTCTGCCTGGCAAAATTAGAGGTGATGGATTCCTGGGAAAAGTAGTAATAAGTTTCTAAACAAATTTCTTTGCCTGCCCAGAGCCTAATGTGAAGACAACAGGCATATGGTCCCCTGGGGGTTGTCATCACTTTGAGACAGCTGCATCACCAGCTAAGATTAAAATTCCAGGGCAGGGGAGTGTCTGAATGAGGACCCAGTGTTTAACATGTAACTAATGACATCATTCTCATATGCTCTAAGCATATGAGAATGACCATTATCCCTAGGGACAACAAAGTTCCCAATTTTTTAAAGTAAGCAGCAGTTTATTTTTTAAAAAGTGCAGATATTTTTTAAAGAAACTATTAATATTCGACCTAGATACTTTTTTTCTACAAAATGGCAGCCTAAGAAATTGTCCTAAAAGAATCAGGAGCCCCCACAAGGAGTCACTTAGTAATGAAAGTGAGCATTTCCTGAGTACTCAGTGGGTTTCACGTACTCCTAGTTCCATCCTTTGACCCCTCCCAGAATTGCCCTCAAGACAATTCTTACTTTGCTTGCTTATTAAAGAGAGGATCCCCCACTGTGGCCCTCTCCTTCTTCTCAGGGTGTTGTCTTCAATCTTCTCCACATCTTACTCAACAAACCTCCTGAGCTATTTCACCCACTCCCATCACGATGATTGCCTTTATCTTCCCTTGGTGTGTAGAGCACCATATCCTTCCATCATTAGCTTATATCACAGGTACCTCTAATTCAAGTTTCCAAAATGGTACCTGTTCCTGTTCACCATCCATTAAGGTCCTCAAAAAAGAAAAATGGAATTTCCTTTCATATCCTCTTCTTTCATTTCTTTTTATCAGGTGCTGATGATTATTTCTTGAAAATGTATCCTCAAATTCTCTGCATCTCCACTGCCACACCCCAGTCACAGTGAGTAGTCTGGTTATGTGGGAAAGGGGCACAGCCCCTCTGTCCACCCGGCTTCAGCACCTCTGGGAGGACAGCTCCACCTCCACACACTTTGCCAGGACACTGCACTAAGGGGATGCGGCCCTCTCTTTGCTGTCTCAGGCCTTCTCAGAAGTCATGAGCCTTTACCCACCTTACTGGTGCAACCTTGACATGTGAAAAACAATTGTCCATCACTGAGGGACAGGAGTCAGGGTATAAATTCTCTGCCTCTGCCTCAGTTTCCTCCGATCCAGTGGGGCAATTATGAGGCCTGCTCTGTGCCTGCGCTTCTCAAACATTAGAGGGCATCAGAATCACCTGAAGAGCTGATTAAACCACACATTGCTAAACCTTGTCTCCAGTGATTCTGACTCAGTACATCTGGGGTGGAATCCAATATTTTGCCTTTCTAATGAGCTCCCAGGTGATGCTGAGGCTGCTGGTACAGAGACCACACTTCAAGAACCACTGTTCTACGTGATTCCTTAGAAGGCTCCCAGTAGGAATGAGCTCCAGTTGCCCATAGCAGCAACCAGCTCATTAAAGCAACTTTTACTGATTTTCTTTTCTCCCTTTCTAATCTCATTCTTTCCATTCTGGGATCCAGGAATGACATCCCAAATAAATAACCTGCCAGCCAATTCTGTGCCTCACACTCTACTTTCAAGGGAACCCAACCTAGGACAAGGCCCATATTGCCTCTTATTTAGATTTCTCAGCCCCCTAACTGGTCTACCTGCCACGAACTGTCCCACTTGAATTCATTCTTCACTCAGGGACCTAAAGGATCTAAGACACAAATTGGATGATGTGACTTCCTTGCTTAAAAGCATCGCATATTCCCATGGCCCTTTGGTATAATCCAGACTCTTGGGATATTTTAAAGGATTTTTATGACTTGAGCCCTTGGTCTCCAGTTGCATTCTGTGACATTCTCCTCTTGCAGGCTTTGCCCCAACTATTCTAAAACCCCATCTATTATCCAGTCCCCAAGACCATTCTTGCTGCTGGGTCTTCACACAGGCTTCTTCATGTCTGTTTAATAAGTTCCCATTCACCATTTGCATCTTAGCTTAGCACTCACTCAGTCAGGCACATTTGTTTCTGATGCTGTGGATAAGATTAAGTGCTTCTCTGAGGCCTTAATTACTTACCATAGCCTTTATTACGCTCATCTGGTATTGCTGTTTAACAGTCTGTGTCCCATACCAGGCTGTGCATGCTATGAGAACAAGAACCATTCCTTTCTCACAGGCCATGGCATGCCCAGCGCACAGCACAGATCTGCAGTACAGAAAGCACTCTGCAACTATGCGTTGAAAGGACACATGAATCAATGAATGTTATTACTTCAGTTTTATAGACTAGGGAAACGGAGCATGGCTAAGTTAATAACGCAGATCAGGGTGACCCCCAAAGCCTGAGGTCTTTGAGAAGAGTGGACCCAATGGAAGTGCCATCTGAGGGACAGCAGAAGACAGCCTCATAGGAGGACTCTGGCCAAGAAGATACAGAGCCTGAGATGGAAGGATGTGAAGCCTTTGGGACTGTTGCCGTTTGGGCCAAAACTTATGACAGAACAAAAAGACCACCAGTACTCTATATTGTCTGGGTGTATAATTCCCCAAGGTTGTTGGTTTCCTTTTTTAAAGATGATATTTAGATTTCCTTTTATTAGTATAACACATTATTTAGTATATTGTGGTGAGCCGGCTTGCCAATATAGTTTGTTTTCCAATAGATCATGATATGGTTTGGTAGTGTCCCCACCCAAATCTCATCTTGAATTGTAGCTCCCACAATTCCCACCTATTGTGGGAGGGATCCAGTGGGAAGTAATTTAACCACGGGGGGCGGATCTTTCCCATGCTGTTCTCGTGATAGTGAATGAGTCTCATGAGATCTGATGATTTTATAAAGGGGATTTCCCCTGCACAAGCTCTCTCTTGCCTGCCACCATGTAAGACATGCCTTTCACCTCCCAGCCACCTGTGGAACTGTGAGTCCATTAATCCTCTTTTTCTTTATAAATTAGCCAGTCTTGGGTATGTCTTTATCAGCAGCATAAAAATGGACTAATACAGAGCGGTTTTTCTGGTAGGGAGGAAGAGTAATTAAAGAGATGAATAGGTTCAACTACATAATTACATCACATCTCCAAGATGCAATATGGCTAAACTTGCCAAACACTTCTCTGAATCATAATTACGTGCACATAACCAGCACTCCTGTCTCCCCAAAAAGAACAATTTGATATATATTCCAAAATACCAAAATCTTGTCATGGGATCCACATAGGCTGAGAGTATCTGAAGTTTCAAATAGGTTTCTTTGAGGAAGTTTACTCCTGGTGTTGCCTAAAATGAAGGTTGTTTAAAACACAGAGGTCTTTGGCTTGATCTGCTTATTTTGTGTGTGTTGGTGGGGGGTGGATTACTTCTGTTGTTTCATTTTTAAAGAAATAATACTATGGTTATAATAAGACAGGCATTTTTCTAGTTTTAAATGTAGTCCAGCGTTTTATGTTTGGAAGCCATGGCTTCTAAGTTGCTATATATTTCCAAAGAATGAATTTAGGTTTCCCTAGCTGTAAACCTGGGCAGAAATTCAGTTTTAATGAAAGCCATTTGGTGGAGGTGGGAGGGGGTGCATGGATAAATACCACCATTCTCTACTTGGTGACATTTAGTTGAGATGGGACTTGGCCAAAGTCTAGGTAAGATTTAATTTACGACACTGACAATTAAACCTATTGCTTTCCCATCATTCTGAGAATAGATGGCCTGGCCTCTGCTTATATCTCTGCCTTACACTTTCTGTCCTCTCTTACTTAATAGGAGGCACCTTGGGCCTCTTGCTGGGCTGTGAACACACAAAACTCACTCCACACTCAGTCTTCAGACTTGTTGGTCTCTCTGCTTGGAACTCGCTTCCTACAATTCCCTGGGACGTACGCCTTCACTTCAGTCAAGTCTCTGCTCAAAGATCTCTCCAGAAAGCCTTCCCCTGCCCAGCCTACCTAAAATACTATTTTCATCCCCATCTTTCTCAATCCACGTACAACATGTTTATTTTTCATAGTCCTTGTAGATAACTGACATTGTTTGTTCATTATCTCTTCCCTTCACTAGACTTTGAACCTTAATGGGCAGAGACTTGGTGTCTTTATTTTAATCACCATGGTATCCTCGGCACTCATAACAGCACCTATTATAAAACAAATATTTAAGAAATATTTTGTGTAAGAATGAATGAATGAAGTAAAATCATAGCATGAGAATTCTATCAAAAATTGGATCAACAGATGGCAATAAAATAGCAACCTTCTATGATTTTCATTTTTCCTGTCAACTGACAGTCAACTATTTTAGCCAATGTGCTTGTTTCTCTATGTGGCAGTTCACCATTAAAAGCCAGAAACCATTGACCCATCAGAAGATATAAAAAAGTGTGAGAAAACGGCCCTCCTTTGGAATCACAGATAGGAACTGTTGTGTTGGTGCTTTCCTGTGAGTGGTCTAGAGACCACAACAGGAAGCAAAGGGCAGGAGTGCTCTTTCATGAAGCCTAATGCGTTATTTCTAATACCTTAATCAATGCCAAGGTCACTCCACTGAGCAGGATATCAGGGAAACCATCAGTCCACTGTCATAAGAGCTATGAGATTTGGCTCTTATTGGCTCATACATAACAGCTAAGAGATTTTTGCTTTTGGGGTGTTGTTTTTGTTTTCTTATATTTTCTTCAAGACAACAGCTAATTTATTTTAGATCAAGTCTTTACAAATCTTCCCACTAACCCAGGCTATCAAACAATGTGCTAAGCTTTACAATGACCCCAGGTCAAACTTTTCTTATGCAGCTTCCTCACGTCACTCAGCCTTCATAGAAGAGAGTTAGGGCCTTGCCCTGTATCAAGCTTGTACTTAAGGGAATGTGGTGGCTGGTTTGGTTTTCTCTATCCATACTATTTAAACGTTCTCCATATTAGCAACGAGGTTGTTTCACTTTACCATTTGTGTGTTCACTGGAGTAGCATTTTTCATTGCCCTCAAGAACTTTTCCTTTGTGTTTACAATGTGGCAAACAGTTTGGCATAGGAAGCCCAGCTTCCGGCCTCTCTTGGCTTTCAAATGCCTTCCTCACTGAATGCAATCATTTCTAGCTTTTGATTTAAAGTGAGAGATGTGCAATGAATGATTCCTCCTCTCACTGAAACACCGGAGACTGTTGTGGGGCCATTCATTGGCCTAATTTCAATATTGTTATGTCTTAGGAAGTAGGGAAGCTGAGAAATGGTCAATATTGTTGTCTTAGGAAATAGGGAAGCTGAGAAATGGAGACTGGGAAATGGTTGGTTAGTAGAGTGGTCAGAACACACACAACATTTATCGATTAAGTTTGCCATCTCATATGGCTACTGAACAATTATAATAGTAACATTATAATAGTAACACCAGAGATTACTGATTACCAATCACCATAACAGACATAATAATAATGATAAAGTTTCAAATGTTGCAAGAATTACCAAAATGTGACATACAGACACGAAGTGGGCACACACTGTTGGAAAAAATGGTCCCCATAGACTTGCTCGATGCAGGATTGCCACAAACCTTCAACTTGTAAAAAATGCGATATCTGGGAAGCACAATAAAGCAAAGTGTGGCCGGGCATGGTGGCTCACTCCTGTAATCTCGGCACTTTGGGAGGCCAAGTGGGGTGCATCACCTGAGGCCAGGAGTTCGAGACCAGCCTGGCCAACGTGGTGAAACCTTGTCTCTACTAAAAATAAAAAAATTAGCTTGGCATGTTGGCACATGCCTGTAATCCAAGCTACTCAGGAAGCTGAGGCAGGAGAATGGTGTGAACCCGGAAGGTAGAGGTTGCAGTGAGTGGAGATTGGCCCATTGTACTGCAGCCTGGGTGACAGAGCAAGATCCCGTCTCAAAAAAAAAAAAAAAAAAAGGAAGAAAAGAAAAGTGCAGAAGCTCTTTAGTTTAATTAGATCCCATTTGTCAATTCTGGCTTTTGTTTCCATTGCTTTTGGTGTTTTAGACATGAAATCCTTGCCCATGCCTATGTCCTAAATGGTAATGCCTAGGTTTTCTTCTAGGGTTTTTATGGTTTTAGGTCTAAGGTTTAAGTCTTTAATCCATCTTGAATTAATTTTTTGTATAAGGTGTAAGGAAGGGATCCAGTTTCAGCTTTCTACATATGGCTAGCCAGTTTTCCCAGCACCATTTATTAAATAGGGAATCCTTTCCCCATTGCTTGTTTTTCTCAGGTTTGTCAAAGATCAGACAGTTGTAGATATGTGGCGTTATTTCTGAGGGCTCTGTTCTGTTCCATTGGTCTATATCTCTGTTTTGGTACCAGTGCCATGCTGTTTTGGTTACTGTAGCCTTGTAGTATAGTTTGAAGTCAGGTAGCATGATGCCTCCAGCTTTGTTCTTTTGGCTTAGGATTGACTTGGCGACGCGGGCTCTTTTTTTGTGCCACATGAACTTTAAAGTAGTTTTTTCCAATTCTGTGAAGAAAGTCATTGGTAGCTTGATGGGGATGGCATTGAATCTATAAATTACCTTGGGCAGTATGGCCATTTTCACAATATTGATTCTTCCTACCCATGAGCATGGAATGTTCTTCCATTTGTTTGTATCCTCTTTTATTTCATTGAGCAGCGGTTTGTAGTTCTCCTTGAAGAGGTCCTTCACATCCCTTGTAAGTTGGATTCCTAGGTATTTTATTCTCTTTGAAGCAATTGTGAATGGGAGTTCACTCATAATTTGGCTCTCTGTTTGTCTGTTATTGGTATATAAGAATGCTTGTGATTTTTGTACATTGATTTTGTATCCTGAGACTTTGCTGAAGTTGCTTATCAGCTTAAGAAGATTTTGGGCTGAGACGATGGGGTTTTCTAGATATACAATCATGTCATCTGCAAACAGGGACAATTGGACTTCCTCTTTTCCTAATTGAATACCCTTTATTTCCTTCTCCTGCCTAATTGCCCTGGCCAGAACTTCCAACACTATGTTGAATAGGAGTGGTGAGAGAGGGCATCCCTGTCTTGTGCCAGTTTTCAAAGGGAATGCTTCCAGTTTTTGCCCATTCAGTATGATATTGGCTGTGGGTTTGTCATAGATAGCTCTTATTATTTTGAGATACGTCCCATCAATACCTAATTTATTGAGAGTTTTTAGCATGAAGGGTTGTTGAATTTTGTCAAAGGCCTTTTCTGCATCTATTGAGATAATCATGTGTTTTTTGTCTTTGGTTCTGTTATATGCTAGATTATATTTATTAATTTGCGTATATTGAACAAGCCTTGCATCCCAGGGATGAAGCCCACTTGATCATGGTGGATAAGCTTTTTGATGTGCTGCTGGATTCGGTTTGCCAGTATTTTATTGAGGATTTTTGCATCAATGTTCATCAAGGATATTGGTCTAAAATTCTCTTTTTTGGTTGTGTCTCTGCCCAGCTTTGGTATCAGGATGACGCTGGCCTCATAAAATGAGTTAGGGAGGATTCCCTCTTTTTCTATTGATTGGAATAATTTCAGAAGGAATGGTACCAGTTCCTCCTTGTACCTCTGGTAGAATTTGGCTGTGAATCCATCTGGTCCTGGATTCTTTTTGGATCTAATTAAACTAAAGAGCTTCTGCACAGCAAAAGAAACTACTATCAGAGTGAACAGGCAACCTACAAAATGGGAGAAAATTTTCGCAACCTACTCATCTGACAAAGGGCTAATATCCAGAATCTACAATGAACTCAAACAAATTTACAAGAAAAAAAAAACAACCCCATCAAAAAGTAGGCAAAGGACATGAACAGACACTTCTCAAAAGAAGACATTTATGCAGCCAAAAAACACATGAAAAAATGCTCACCGTCACTGGCCATCAGAGAAATGCAAATCAAAACCACAGTGAGATACCATCTCACACCAGTTAGAATGGCAATCGTTAAAAAGTCAGGAAACAACAGGTGCTGGAGAGGATGTGGAGAAATAGGAACACTTTTACACTGTTGGTGGGACTGTAAACTAGTTCTACCATTGTGAAAGTCAGTGTGGCGATTCCTCAGGGATCTAGAACTAGAAATACCATTTGACCCAGCCATCCCATTACTGGGTATATACCCAAAGGACTATAAATCATGCTGCTATAAAGACACATGCACACGTATGTTTATTGAGGCACTATTCACAATAGCAAAGACTTGGGACCAACCCAAATGTCCAACAGTGATAGACTGGATTAAGAAAATGTGGCACATATACATCATGGAATACTATGCAGCCATAAAAAATGATGAGTTCATGTCCTTTGTAGGGACATGGATGAAATTGGAAATCATCATTCCCAGTAAACTATCACAAGAACAAAAAACCAAACACTGCATATTCTTACTCATGGGTGGGAATTGAACAATGAGAACACATGGACACAGGAAGGGGAACATCACACTCTGGGGACTGTTGTGGGATGAGGGGAGGGGGGAGGGATAGCATTAGGAGATATACCTAATGCTAGATGACGAGTTGATGGGTGCAGCACACCAGCATGGCACATGTATACATATGTAACTAACCTGCACATTGTGCACATATACCCTAAAACTTAAAGAATAATAATAAAATAAAATAAAAAAACACAACAACAACAACAAAAAAGAAAAGTGTGATAAAATCAGGTGTGCCTGTGTTTATTGAATGCAGTACATTGTGGATACGCTATGCTGTTGGGGGTCTGGATTTTGTTGTCTTCCTTTTTAGTGTCAAATATTGTTTATGCACACAATTAACTTACTAGTGGAGAAGTTTTATCTTGCCAAGAATCTTCTTAGGCTCTTTTAGGGCTGGTCTAGAGTAACCCTTATGCTGGGGATAGATTAGTCCTACTCCTAGGGTGTGGCATTCCTGAGATTGCGGCTGAATTCCCCTATTCTGGCTAGTTAGAACTCCAGCATTCCCAAGCAATGTGCAACTTCTGCTAGCACCCTGTGCATGTGAAGAACAGTATTCAGCTGAAACTGCAAAGGAGCCCTGTACAGATTTCTAGAGACCTTTCTTTGAATAGCTCCCTAATCTCCAGTAGCTTGTCCTTCAATACCCAGTAATCATCTTAGTATCTTTCAATTTCTCTCTCTGTTTTCTCCACCTGCCAAGATCACTGTGATCTATTTGGGCTCTGCACTCTCTGTCATGTGCAGAAAGTACCCCAAGCAGCTATCTGGGGTGAATTTGGAACTGACTTCATGCACTTTGTTTTGTTCCTGAAAGCAGTTCTTATATATATTAGACCAATTTTATAGTTGGTTTGTAGTAGGAGGATAAATGTGTTACCTGTTACTCTGTGATGGTCCTATTAGATAATTTTTGTTTTTCCACTTCTTTGACCCAAAACATCCCCCTTCCCTATAATTTTCAATCATTTCTGTTGGTGCTACCTACTGGAGCTTCACACCATGGTTGTTATTATACTACTTTGAACGTACTACTGCACTGGTACAAAGAATTCTGGTTGCATTCACTAACTCAAGGACTTTGATCCTGTAATAATCTCCTCTTTATCTTGACACATATTTTTTTCCTCTCTACTGGCTTATTCTCATAAGCATAAAGCAGGCTGTAAAGTATCCAGTCTTAAAAATAACTCCTGCCCTTGCCCCATGTCCATTTCCAACTTTGTCTCCATTTTACTGCCTCCTGTGATAGCAAAATTCCTAAAAATATAAAAATAGTTGTGTTTTCTGAGTTCCTGCACATTGACCTTCTTTCTTTTCTGAAGCTCCTCTAATCAAGCCCTCGCTGCAATGACACCAGGTCATAAACAATATCCATCAAGGTCATAAACAATATCCATCTTCCTAAACCAGTGACCAACTCTTGGTTTTCCTCTTTGTCTACTTTCAGCAGGATTCAATACTGTTTAATATTCTCTTTCTCGATTTATTTCTGATTTTGCTTCTAGAGTGCCACAGTCCACTGGATTTTCTCCTCCTTTACAGGCTGCTCCTTTTCCCTCTTCGTCTCTTCTGCTGATTCCTCCTTCTCTTATTCTGGGGCCTTAAATGCTGGAGTGCCCTAGTGACTGCTGGGACAGGTGCTTCTCCCATATCATTGACCATTATTCCCCTTGTCAATACCGTTCTTCCTCATTTCTTCTCTGCTTCTGCTAAAGACACTTTCATTCACCTTGTTATTAGGCAAAGCATGATTCCACTAAAGGTTCTTCTTTATCTCATTTGCAACATTCACTCCATAAGCGTGTTTTATTTGCTTTACCGCCAAAATAGATTGTGAATTCCACTGCTTCTCATGACCTTAACATTAACACCTTCATCCAAGGCATTTTTATCTTGTCTGAATGTCTGAAATAGCCTGTTAACTACTCTTCTTGCTTTCTAGCCCAGTCCATTCTTCAGACAGCTACTAGTGTGACAACTAAAAAGATCAATCAGGCCATAGTGCTGTGGTGGTTAAAGTCAACAGTGCCAACTCTTTAATCTAGAAGAAAATCCACACCTCAAAATGGCTGCACGTTCTAATTACTCAGGGGGCTGGAACTGAGACTTGGCTACATATTAGAATAAACCTGTGGATTTTACAAATTATTGATGCCTGGGTCCCACCTCCAAAGATGGTTATTTAATTGACAGGAGCTTCATCCTGGTCATCAGGACCTTTTTAGACCTCCCTATGCAATCTGAATGTACAACAAAGTTTGAGAACCACTAACTAGTGATTTTTGGGAAAAAAGAACAATTCCCCAGAGATCTGGAAGATGGATTTACCCCTAAAGATTATGATTTAATTGGTGTAGATTGGGACCAAAAAATGCACATCAGTGTTTTCTTAAGCCTCCCAGGAGATTCTACAGAACTGTCTGGATTGAGAACCACAGTCCCACATCACCTTGTCCCTGCCTGTTTCTCCAGTCACACTGACCTGTTTGTGAAGCACATTTTCTTCCTCTAGGCTGCATTATCTCACTGGTGATTTAATATTAATTTAACTAAAGCTTATTTAACATATTTGAAGAACAATCACATGGAGACATCAGTCATATCATGATCAGCTACATTATCCCAAATAGCTAGGCTCATTTTCAGCTCATCTGATTTTGCCTTGGTTAAAAACTTCTGGTTGCCTTTTCTGCAAGGGCAAGTTGTACAAAAAGCATCCCCGTACATTTTTATCTGACGTTTCAGATTCCTGGCCTGGATCCTTCAGAGCAGATTATATAGAAAGCAGGCTGATGTACTATTTTGCCCTTCACAAACCCAAGAGTTAACTCTGCTTATAAGAAAACGCTTGGGAAACAGATACTAGGTTGGCTCCCTTTTTTATTTATCTTTCAAAATTTGGGAAAAAATCAAGTATCCCAATTCTTCCACTCCAAAGTGCAAGGTGGAAATGAGAAAAATGTCATGAGGCTGCTAAGTTTGTGTCTAATTGAATATATATTTTCTAAATTATTCACCTGGAAATTTTTTTTTTCAGAAATACAAAGTTAGTTTCTTCCTATGACTTCTAAGTCTGTGTCACTTCCTTTTGCTGGCAGGTAGATAAAAAGTGCATTTCTTCCCAGCTGGCAAGGAAGAAGAGGTATCAAGGGGACAAGGAGTAAGGAATGAAGAAGGACATGAGAATCTCCTGCTCAAGAAAGAGCTATCTCCACTCTCTGGGAAATTACAGAAATCCTCCCCCTCCTAACAACCACTCTGGGACCACAATCTGGGGAATTTTAAAATGCAAATAATCATTGTTAATATAAATCTTTAACTTCAGACAGTTACTTTTGCAATGTGGATGAATATTGTAATGGTAGATTAATGTATAGTACTCTTGGAGAATCATAAACATCACAGAATGTCTGTGTTTGATATACATTAGAGAACACTAGCAGCTTATTTCATAGATGAAGAGTGTGAGCCTTAATGGGAATTTGGTGACTTGAATAGAAGTTCAAAATAAGACTGAAGCTTACAGTTTAGATGTAATGAGATTACTGCCAGTTTTCTACAAGTTAGCCTACCCTATTTTAATTTTTTTGAATAAGTACTACCATACTCTGCTTAATTTTAAAACGTTGCAATGGCGTCCCAAAATAATGATAGATTTAATGCTAAATAGAATAGATGGGCAAAGAAAACCACATTTCTAAAACTAAAACAAACATTATGAAAAGCTATTTCATGGCTCTTTAGAAAAACTTTGATACATAGCTTTGAGACATATTTTTTAAAAAACCATTTATTGAAATAAGAAATACTAAAAATATTATATGAATACAATAAAGCAAAAGCTCACGGACGTTAGTCCTCAAAACTCATTGGCTTAGCATACGGAAGCCTTATTTCATGAATTAAATCCTATGGTTCCCACCTTCTTAGCTATTAATTATTTAAAACATATTTTAGGTAAATAAAACCTTATCTTGGAGTTTAGGGGAATTCATGGTTGGGTTTAGAGTCGTATTTTTTTTTTTTTTTTTTTTTTTTTTTAGTGAGATAAAACTGAATTTCTAAGTTCCAGTTATTTTCGAAATATTTCAAGCCCCATCATCTTAAACCATTGTTAAATCAACTCTACAGATGCCACATGGCTCATGATCCTTTGCTCACCTCTGACAATCAACTGGCTTTGGTGCTCCACAGCGGCGGCCTCATTCCGGGCTATGCAGGTGTAATTCCCATTGTGCATGAGCGAGAGATTGGAAATCCTCAAGGAGCTCGTGAAGTCAATATTGTCAATGGTCACCCCAA
The DNA here is from genome assembly GCF_000001405.40 of Homo sapiens. Lineage (NCBI taxonomy): Eukaryota > Metazoa > Chordata > Mammalia > Primates > Hominidae > Homo > Homo sapiens. Next base: position 451,876 of record NW_025791814.1, read on the forward strand.
GGCTCCCAGGGATTGGCCGGCCATCCTTCTGCCAGGTGATCGTGATGGGTAAGTCCCCTGAGACCACAACACAGGGGATGAAGACCCGCTGCCCAATGGAGAATCTTGGAAACTCAAAGGGTTGTATGAAAGGCGGAACTGCAAGAAAAAAGAAAGATAATAACGAACTGTGCTTATTCTACATTTGCTTTTCCTTTAACCCTGTATACGGCACTGAAAGGGTAGTACAGACGATCATAGATACAGCATAGAAATACAGGAACTGTAGCAAATTTGAAATTCTGCTTCTATTATTTGAATGTTCTCATCATTTTAAATAAAAACCATGGTTCAATTTGTACTTCAGCAAGTTAATTTTGTTCAACAAACTTTAATTTAAAAATTATTTTTGAATGAAAACATTTCAGACTATATCTGTAGTGTAAATAGTGTGAAAGAGGGATTTAGGTTTGGTTTTCCTTCAAAGCCTTTTAAAATGATGTATACAAGAGGAGGTTTCTTTCCTACTTTGCGACTATGACACTACAATTACTGTTCCCCTTCTAATTGTTTCCTGCCTTGTAAATAGGCATATTCTAAACCCACTGAAGAAGCAGAAATTCCAATTTTGGCTGGATGTGGTGGCTCACACCTGTAATCCCAGCACTTTGGGAGGCCAAGGCAGGAGGAACACTTGAGGCCAGGAGTTCAAGACTAGCCTGGGCAACATAACGGGACCCCCATATCTACAACATTTTTTTAAAAAATTAGCCAGGTGCGATGGTGTGCACCTCTGGTCCCAGCTACTGAGGAGGCCAAGGCGGGAGGATCCCTTGAGCCCAGGAGTTCGAGGCTGCAGTAAGCTACGAGGGCACCAGTGCACTCCAGCCTGGGTGACTCCAGCCTGTGTCTAAAAAACTAAAAAAAAAAAAAAAAGTAAAATAAATATTCCAATTTTATTGTTAAAGTTCTCTGTTATGTCCAACTAATAACAACCATTAATTATAAATTCTTATTTCATATTAGAATAACTACATCTTTACTTTGCATCTCTTAGTTTTGCACACTTTACGTGTGTAACTTTTAATTGTGAACTGGTCCGTGGCAGGTTATTTGACTTGCTGATGTATTGCTAAGGAGGTCGGGTTATAGCCTTCAGCCTGGCCTGCCATGGACACTGCAAGCAAACTCAGCCTGGAAAGCTCTTTCCTGATTCAGCTTTGCTGAGTGATGCCTGTTTTGTCCACCTTGCCTTAGGAACTCTCTTCCTCAGTGCCCTCCTAGATGATGTCATAGGGTATTAACATTCTGAAATAGTTAAAATGGAGTCAGATGAACCACATTTGAACTCTAACTGTTACTTGTTAGTTATGAGCAAAGTAATATGCTCTTTCATCAGCCTTACGGATTAGTTATTTATTGCTTTACTTTGCAGATGGGAAAAGTGATACTCAAAGATGTTACCTTGCCCTTTTGGTCTTAGAACTAGTTAACTATTCTCGGAGGGCTTAAATCATGTCAATATAACTAATATCAGAGCCTGTAATGTAAGCCTTTTTTGTGTTTTTGCATACATTCTTGGAAAGAAAAAGGTTTATTTGTATGCAGGGGCTTGGAAATGACTAAGAGTACAAACTAAGATGATTAATCATGTGATAATCTAATATAAACCAATTATTATATTACGAGTTTTTCCTAATGAAGTTATTAAAGATTTCTACAGTTTATTCAACAATTGTAAGTCCATTTCAACTATCAGCTTAAGGAAGAGGTAAGGGATCCGGCTGAGAAATTTGAATAGAAAACCATTCATTCATTTATTTGTTCATTCAATCAAGTCATGTTTATTGAGCACCTGGGATGTGTGTGGCAGCAGTGAACGTGCTGGGCACACAGCAATGAGCATAACCCATCAGCCTCTGCCAGTGGAGCTTCCATATATAGCCATAGGCCGCAGACAGCAAGGAAGTGCAGCCATGGCGCTTCTCTTATTTCGTATTATCACTATGACGGCTGTCTGCTTTCAAAAGCAGTTGGGAGCTAGAACTCAAAATTGCAAGTACAGCCAGAGGTCGAAGAAGTAGGTAGCTCAAGTTAGGTTTTACCAGGGAAATTAATTTTTTTAAATGGTCAAAGGTACCGACAAGCATACTCAATGTCAATCCTCCTGTGGATTCTCCATGTAAAGTTAGATCTTTGGGATTGAAAAGGGCTGATCTGATGCTAAGAGATAAAGGTCTCAGGATGAGATTCTATCCAGTGCTGGTGGAGAGAATCGGGTCAGACTGAGGTATGAACGTTCTCAGTTGGAATGTGCTGGAGAAAATGTCATGTTGTACCAAAGGTGCTTGTATTTCTTTAAATCTCTTGCCCCCAAGTGGCATAAATGCTCACTATATATGTAAATATTATTAATACTAAATTGCTATGCTTTATTAAAGAAAATAATTACATTTCCTCCCCTTTGATTTCCTGGACACAAAAACCTGGTTGTCAGCATACTCAGACAAACCTTGGCTTGGTGCTTACTGTCTGAATTACAGACAATTTTTCTAAGATAAGAACTTTGGAGCCAGGCTACTTTGGTTTAAGTTCAGCTATGCTACTTACTACAGTTACTTAACCCCTCTCAGGGTCTCAGTTTCCTTATTTATAAAATAGAGTGCTGCCTTGAGCTCTGAATGAGTTAACACAGTAATTCTCAAACTTAGTTGTGTATCTGAATCAGTTTCTTAGCATTTGTTCTATTTCACAAGCCTTTAAGATGAGGAAAAAACAGGTAAGTTGAAAGGTTACTGGGCTAATTTTCTCTATCAGTTACAACAGGGAGAAGGAATACGTGAGGATTTACTTTCTCCAAATCAAGAAAGAAAGGTAAGACATAGCATATTTTTTAATCTAGCTATTTAATAAGAAGGCCGGGTGTGGTGGCTCACGCCTGTAATCCCAACACTTTGGGAGGCCCAGGTGGGCAAATCACCAGAGGTCAGGAGTTCGTGAGCAGCCTGGCCAACATGGAAAAACCTTGTTTCTACTAAAAATAAAAAAAAAAAATTAGCCAGGCATGGTGGCGTGCACCTATAGTCCCAGCTACTAGGGAGGCTGAGGCAGGAGAATTGCTTGAACCCGGGAGGCTGAGGTTGCAGTGAGCCAAGGTCATGTCACTGCACTCCAGCATGGGAGACAGAGCGAAACTCCGTCTCAAAAAAAAAAAAGGAAAACATAGAGTGTAGGTTGTAAATAATTGTAAAGTATTAGAATGTCCCTTTAGAGCATAAGAGAGTTATAGAATACAGGAAATATATGCACATACAAATTTTCAAGAACAGAAGTAAGAGGTAGCTATAGAAGAATCAGCATTAAAACCAAAACGAAAACCAAAACCCTGTGTTTTCTATAATTCCAAAATATTTGCAATTCATCAGTGTATGGTATTTAAGGAATATTTTTATCATTACTTTAGTACAAAGCAACAGGGCTGAAAATCAAGAAGTACACTTCCAAAGCACTGAAAAACCAGTGTCAGAAAGCTAATGCACTAAATCTCATACACATCACTCCAAGGATAATCCCTTGCTTTGAACATCTTATTTTAAATCATTACAACACTGTCAGTTATCTGATATCTTGGCCTAAATCAGATTCTGGGAGTTCAGGCATATTGAAGAGGGCTTAGTAAGAAGCCACAATTGGCAAGCAAAAGGAGGAGGGTGAGAAACTAAAAGTAAATTATAAAGAACAGACACAAAAACGCAACACACACAGTAGTTGGATGACATTTTGTTTGGGAGCACATTGCCCTTAGTAGTCAGCATTTTTGTAATTAATACAAAATCGTAATACTTAATTAGCATTCTGAATTATAAGTCACGGTTAACATATTAAATAAAAAGATACATTTAAAATATTTTAAAACATATCTACCAAAAAAAAGCCTTTCCAAAATGGTTAAAATAAATATTAAAGAAAAGTTTAGTCATAAGGAAAAGCGTTTTCCCAGAAGAATGTCAAAATTAGGTTTGCTATGTGTTGCTTTGCTTGCCACATTATGTAAGGACACATTAGGTCAGTATGCACATTACATCATTGTTAATGTAAATTAAATCACAAGACCTATTTGTCAATCATGTCAATTCTTTCTTCACTGCTTAAGTTGCCTTGCTTGCATCAGCTGTGAGTTGCAAGTCTGCTGCATACAAATGCATAAAATTTTTAAAGCGTCTTAAGCCTTATATTTTATATTCATAAGACATAAGATCGATGGCACAAAGTAACTCCAGTGATTAGAAAACTCTTCTCATGATTTTGGGAAAGCTGAACCTCCTATTTGAGACACACTGATTACCTGATTCATGATATCACCTAAATAAGGTAAATTATCTGAATCTTGCTGACAGTAAAAGCTTGTATATCATAGGAGCAGAAATCCTGAATATGACACACACCGCTTTTGACATACCCTTTCTACAAGAAGTACGTAAATATCTGATAAAGGTCATTTATTACCAGGCTTGTGTATTTCACTCTACATAATGGCGGGGGTCCTTTTCCTAGGCAGCTCAGAGCCATTGAATACTGCCAAATGTCAATTTTGACTCTTACTCTATCTAAACCCTTAACAAGAATATTAGATCAGACTGATATATTTCTGTCTTGTCTCTTAAAAATTAATTGTATATTCTTCTTCATGGAGGGAAATGCTTTGATTTCTCCTAGAGAAGAGGCGTATAAGACTTTGATAAAATCATGGGTGGGGTGCTCGTCAATTCTGGGTGATTAGCAGTGTTATCTTGATCCAGTTTATTTAGCTCTGCGATTCTATCTCTTCATGTGTAACGAGGTGATAATGAAACACAGTTCATTATCAGCTTGCATTGAAATAGACAGCAAGTAGCTCTTCTGCGCAGCCACAGGGCTATTTACTGTCCAGTTCAGTGCAAGGCGTGACTCCGAAATGATGAGGCTGTGAGCAGGTGGGAGTTTCTAGTCCGGGGTATACCTTCAAGATCTCCTCACCCATAAGTCTGGTTATCTGGTCAATTCTGCTACTTAACAACATCGTTTAGCTAAATTTTAGATTACTGACCCAGTCTGATACAGTTCTCCACAATGTACATACAACACAAGTAAGCGGTTCCTCTACTCACTCTTGTTCAAAACTCTTGTATGGAATTTATCACATTGATGACTCAAGTGAGTACAGTGATTTATGGACGTGCCCATTTTCTTAAGTAGAGTGACCCAGGAGGGCAGGAGATCTATCAAGTTTATCTTTTTTATTTCCCACAACTAGTGGGATAAATAGTGTCCTGTTCTTTTTTTTTCTTTTCTTTCTTTTTCTTTTTTAAACGGAGTTTTCACTCTTGTTGCCTAGGCTGGAGTTCAGTGGCATGATCTCGCCTCACTGCAACCTCCACCTCCCGGGCTCAAGTGATTCTCCTGCCTCAGCCTCCCAAGTAGCTGGGATTACAGGCACACGCCACTAGGCTTGGCTAATTTTTTTTGTATTTTTAGTAGAGACGGGGTTTCACCATGTTGGCCAGGCTGGTCTCGAACTCCTGACCTCATGTGATCCACCTGCCTTGGCCTCCCAAAGTGCTGGGATTATAGGCGTGAGCCACCGAGCCTGGATGTCTTGTTCATTTTGATTGAATAATGTTTTTTAGAAAAAAACTTTCAGAGGTGATGATGAACATATGTTTACACTCTGCACTTTAGACAATCCTGAAGTCATTAAGAATGACTTAGTTTACTGAGAATGATGATTTCCAATTTCATCCATGTCCCTACAAAGGACATGAACTCATCATTTTTTATGGCTGTATAGTATTCCATGGTGTATATGTGCCACATTTTCTTAATCCAGTCTATCATTGTCGCAAGGACAAAAAACCAAACACCGCATGTTCTCACTCATAGATGGGAATTGAACAATGAGAACACATGGACACAGCAAGGGGAACATCACATTCTGGGTACTGTTGTGGGGTGGGGGGAGGGGGGACGGATAGCATTAGGAGATATACCTAATGCTAAATGACAAGTTAATGGGTGCAGCACACCAGCATGGCACATGTATACATGTGTAACTAACGTGTACATTGTGCACATGTACCCTAAAACTTAAAGTATAATTAAAAAAAAAAAAAAGAATGACTTAGAAAAGAGGAGCAGGCAGACACTTCCAGGACTTAATAATGACGACATGGCAGGGACAAGAGTGAAGCTCCTCTTCATAGTCTTATTAGCCTAGGGGCCGAGGACTTCTAACTACTGTGCCAACTCTCCCCTCTGCTGGCAGGGCCAGTTGGGGAGCTTGAGTCAATATCTGGCCTTGTTTATTTAGGTACGGTCCTCGCGCCAACTCTGAATTGCTATGTGAGTTTGTTTCCCTGAGATCGGTGACTTCCAACCAGCAGCAGCCAGAGATGCACCTAGCTTACCGTGACTTAGGCTGCTGGTCCCGTGACCTGCACCTGCTTTAGCAGGAAGGGCAGGAGGCCAAGATGCAGAGACATATGATGAGGGAGTGATAAGGATATTGCTGGAGCCGGTGGGTGCTAAAAGAAACCAGAGGCTGCGTGGGTCACATCAACTTAGATTCCATTAGTTTCCCTTCTTAGCCTCTCACTCCAAGCTCCCCGCGGGGTTCAATATGAGCTGATATTAACTGACATTGACCTAGGCGAAAAAGGCAAGAGTGAGCCAGTGGGGAATTCTTTGGCCCTGCCTTCTGGGTGGGAAGGACAGGGAAGGACAAGGCATTGTCCTTGCAGTGTGGTGGAGATGACTTTTAGGATCTATCTTTAAGGTTTCCTTAAAGAACTGTGTCTTGGGCATATTTGTAATAGCCCAAATCATACAAAACTTTAAAAAATGTTTCAAGTATCTGTTTTTCTCTAGACATAGATTTGAAATACCACATTTGAATTTCTGTGGATGAATGAAGTAGGAGTTTTGAGTATATTTTGATAAATTTACATCTTTTGAATTATTTAAGGTGTACTCAAATGAGAAGTATACCTCCTTTAGGGGAGGAGTTATAAGTAAAAACAGCAGACCAAAGTTTTCTCTGGCCACATTCTCCATTCTAAGAAAACATGTTCCCCATGGACAGAAAAAAATAGCTGGACCCAATCATCCATGTCTTCCTTAGTTTCAGAAAGTGTCAAGGCACTGAACCTGCTGTGACTTGGAGAAAACAAACAAGAAAGGCTAAATAATGTTCGTGTGTGCATGTGTGTGTGTGTGTATGTGTGTGTGACATTCTCTTTATCCATTCATCTACCAATGGACACTTAAGTTGTTTCCATGTCTTGGCTGTCGTGGATAGTGCTGCCATGAACGTGGGATCACAGGTACCCCCTTCACAGAGTGATTTCATTTCCTCTGGATATACACCCAGTAGTGGAATTACTGGATTATATAAATTTTTTTAGGAAACTTCCTATTGTTTCCTATCATGTCTACACTAATTTACATCCCCACCAACACTGTACGGGGTTCCATTTTCTCCACACAGCCTTGCCAACACTTGTTATCTTTTGACTTTTTGACCACAGCCATACTAACAACTAAATCATGCAGGCCAAATTTCACAATTCTCACTCAGAGTGGGCACCAAGAGATTAAAGGTGGTAAAAATACCCCATGGAATACTTTGCAGCCATAGAAAGGAATGAGATCATGTCCTTTGCAGGGACATGGATGGAGCTGGAAGCCATTATCTTCCACAAACTAATGCAGGAACAGAAAACCAAACACTGCATGTTCTCACTTATAAGCGGGAGTTGAACAATGAGAACTCATGGACACAGGGAGAGGAAGAAAGCATGTGAAAGCATGGGTAAGGGGAGGGAAAGCATCAGGAAAAATAGCTAATGCATGCTGGGCTTAATACCTAGGTGATGGGTTGAGAGGTGCAGCATACCACCATGGCACACATTTACCTATGTGACAAACTTGTACATCCTGCACATGTACCTTGGAACTTAAAATTAAATGAAATAAAATAGAAGAACATTATGTCCGCTATAGTTACTGATGTGATAAAAATCTTTCCTCATATTATATTGTAATTTTAAACAGTGGATTGAATTATTTTATTTCCTGGTATTATTTCATAATGCATATTGTTTTTCCTATATAGAATTATTCTTTATTTTACACAATAAAGATTCTAATATGGCCATTGCAGTGTTAGCTTTGTTCCATTATTAGAATTGTATCACACAATTTTTTTATAGTAAATATGATTTGAAATTATTTCTAAGTTAATTAAATGGGCCAGTAATATATTCTTTAAAATAATAAATTTTGTCACTGTGTTAGTCCATTTTCATGCTGTGGATAAAGACATATCCAAGACTGGGCAATTTACAAAAGAAAGAGTTTAATTGGACTTACAGGTCCACGTGGCTGGGGGAGCCTCACAATCATGGCAGAAAGCAAGGAGAAGCAAGTCCCACCTTACATGGATGGCATCAGGCAAAGAGAATGAGGAAGACGCAAAAGCGGAAATCCCTGATAAAACCATCAGATCTCATAAGACTTATTCACTACCACGAGAACAGTATGAGGAAACTGCCCCCATGATTCAATTATCTCCCACCAGATCCCTCCCACAACACGTGGGAATTATGGGAGTAAAATTCAAGATGAGATTTGGGTGGAGACACAGCCAAACCCTATCAGTCACCATCTCTGTTCATTTATGTGTATTTACTTTAAATGTCTAAAAGATAGATAAGTACCCTACAAGAGTTTATGAGAGTTCATAGATCCCATGGCAAAAGTTAATGAGGGTGGATATCACATTCATTTGAAGAATCATACTACACATTACAAAATTGAATTATGAGATTGAAAACCATGAATAAATAGTTCAACAATTCAGATGGAAAGGAATGTCTCTTACTAATCATACGCTAATGGAACCATTGTTCCTCAGTGTCCTGACCTGGCCTTGTTCTTCCTTCTCTCTCCCTGATGGTCTCAGCACCTCCTTTGCCCCAGCTGTCAGCTCAATGCTGTTGACTCCTAATCTAAATTTTCAAACAAAAACTCCTTCTCAAGATTCATGCCTGCTTGTTCAGTAGTATGTCAATATCTTCATCTTGATGTCTCAGAAGTATCTCAAATCCCAAACCAAACATAGCAAGTTTCCCCTTAATCTAAGCTTCTTCAATTCTCTGTTCTTAGTAGTGATAGCAAAATATTTTGGTTGCAAGAAGCTTCGAATAATAAAAGCGTTCCTAGTTGTGCATTTCTTTTTGTGTCCAGCTGCTGAGAGTGTGCTGCTATGTATTGTCTACTCCAATTCTCAACATGTCTTTTGTGTGGTTTCTCTTTTTCCAAACACAGTACTATCACCTTTTTAATTACAACTCTTTCAATTGTGTCCTAACTGGTCATTCTTTTTTTTTTTTTTTTCATCTTTCTGCACTGTGATATACCTTACCCACCTCAACCAGATTAATGTTTCTAAAACATTGCTGCGAGCATTTACCTCTGCTCCAACACCTTTAGGATTCAGCAGGATGTGCTAACTCTCCGAGGCCTGGTCCTCTCTGTGCAGATGCAGACCTTCGCTTACTGGGAGTATCCTTTGTGTCAGCCATAGGGGCTCTTACATGTGAGCAACTGCACCTGACCCACCTCTGTCCCCACACCCTGTCCGAGCCCCATTCTCACTCTGATCATCTTATAATGGCAAAACTACACTCAATTGTTTCTGCTTTTGGAAACCGTTTCAGGCGCTAGACCCTTTTGAGATTCAACTCAGCTTTTCTTGGACATTCTTTTTTGGCTCCTCAAGACTTCTCAGCCTACCCTATGCCCAGAATTAGATAAATGTCCACTTCCTCTGCTCCTAAAACACATACTGCATATTTCTCTGATGGTATTGTGTTGATGTCTGCATTTGTCTTCTTTGTCTCCCTGCTGTTCTCCTGCGCCAGGTGTCATGGCTGCTGTTTTGGACCTTCTGCTGCCCCTCGCCCAGGACATTTGCTGCTTCCTGTCGTGTGTTGCCATCATTTGTCTGTGGGTTCTCCCACAGACCCCAACACCTTGCTGGCAGTGACCATCCTATTATTACTTGATCTCATTAACAGCAGACGCACAAGTATTACCTGAATACATTTTTAAAAAACATCTTAGCACTCACAAAACTAAAGAGATTTTTTGAGTTGAAACTTGTTCTGATGACAAAGGTCCAATTGAGCTATGAACTACAACACAATACACTATGGTACACTGTAATATTTCTCATTTCTAATTTGAAATATTGGACTCATGTCATTATAGAAAGCGGGAGCAATTTTTTTTTTTTTGGAGACAGATTCTTGTTTCCCATCTTGTTGCCCAGGCTGGAGTGCAGTGGCATGATCTCGGCTCATGGCAACCTCCGCCTCCCAGGTTCAATCAATTCTCCTGCCTCAGACTCCCGAGTAGCTGGTACTACAGGTGCCCGCCATTACACCTGGCTAATTTTTGTATTTTTGGTAGAGACAGGGTTTCACCATGTTAGCCAGGCTGGTCTCAAACTCCTGACCTCAGTTGATTTACCCGCCTCGGCCTCCCAAAGTGCTGGGATTACAGGCGTGAGCCACCACGCCCGGCCAGTGGGCGCAAATGAATGAAAAAATGTGTTTAGGAAAAGGTGTTTAAGACCCACATGTATAGCCATTTGACATCTACGTAAGTGGGAGGAGTTGCACTGACCAGATTCCTTTCAAGAAAGGACATGTTACCACCAATTCATGGGGTGATGTCATCTGGAAGTTATTGGCCACCTCGGAGATTGTCTCAGCTGCAGAGGCCCACTTCACCCAAGGACAGGCTCTTTTTTGGAGTGTCCTCAATCTAGTGACTGATTGAGGAGCAATTCTGCCCAAACTCAGGACAACCCTGAAGGACTGTTCTTGCTCCAGAGCTCACTGTCATTGGCCTGCATCCCAGCTCACTCTTTCTTCGCCCAGTCCTTCTTCCTGTCCTTCCCTCCTCGGTTGTTGATCATAAGGCACTCCTTGATAAACACTCTTCACACTAGCATCCATCTCAGAGTCAGCTTCCCGAAAAACCCAACCACAATGGTTTGTTTCATCTACAGCAAAAATGCATGCACCATTAATAACAAAACCAGGTCTGTGTGTGACACACTCTCCATATACTTCAACCATCCATTCACATTACTTTAACTCATCTGGGACTGGGACTAGAAGAGAATTAGTGCTGAGTTCTCTTTCAAATATACCCCTCTATACATGATGAAAAGTATCTTGTTATTTTCCCTCAGAACAAGGAAAAGATAGAAGAAGAATAAAAAAAGAAGCAAGGGAAAACGTTTAAAAGGTGAATTTTAAAATTGTTGCTCACTAACTTAAAAAAAATGCTGTGTTTGTTTTGTTGTTTTTGCTCATTCAGCTGGCCCAAGTTTAGCTAGTGTTCTGAGCAAAAATTCAGTTTTTCTCTCTAATAATTGGAATATATCAGGAATAAGAGTAGCTAACTTTTCTACAATGATTTTAAACAAAGTAGTTCTTCTATAGGATGCTTATTTTAGACTGCTAGACTGTGAAAAGAGGTAAAGAGTCATAAATATAACAACGAAGTAAGGGGGCTGGGTGCAGTGGCTCACGCCTGTAATCCCAGCACTTTGGGAGGCTGAGGTGGGCGGATCATCTGAGGTCAGGAGTTTGAGGCCAGCCTGGCCAACATAGTGAAACCCCATCTCTGCTAAAAATACAAAAATTAGCTGGGCATGGTGGCTCACCCCTGTAATCCCAGTTACTTGGGAGGCTGAGGTAGAGAATTGCTTGAACCCAGGAAGCAGAGATTGCAGTGAGCCGATATTGTGCCATTACACTCCAGCCTGGGCAACAAGAGTGAAACTCTGTCTCAAAAAAAAAAAAAAAAAAAAAAAAAAAAGAAAAAAAAAAGAGAGAGAGAGAAAAGGAAATAAAAGGAAGGCAAATAACTTTTTTCCCAAAAATTGTTTAAAATTATCAAGTAAGTCCATGGGAGGAAAAAAATAATTAAAATGTTTTAGGAACAAGAAAAAGATATCCCAAGGCATAAAGTAGAATTATAATAAAGAGAAACACAAAAGATGCAAGTTGGATACAATAAAGGGAAAAAATAAACTACTTGAAATTTGGGGGCGTAAAAGAGTAAAACAAACTCTGAGAAGCATGGCAGTGTCTCCTTCCAATGCACTTCCAAAAAAAATGGATGCCCTGCAATATTGTCAACCAGATGCCTAAAGGGGAATGTGGTGGAAAGAACTGGATAATTTCTTGGGGCCATTTGAGTCTTCAATCATATGAAACATCTCTTGAAAGTTATTTTTATGGAGTGTATTGTAAAGCCATAATCATATTATGTTGAAATAGTTTCTTTAAAAGATTAAAACGACCAAGAACTTAAAAACTTATGATAATATCTATATGTAAACAATTAGAGTCACCATGGTCTGAGCAGGATGACAGGTTATGTTTCCCCTGGTTGAGAGCAATAATACCTTCATACAGAAGACTGTAATAAAACTGAGTTACTTTTCTGCATTTTTAATATGAAAAGAAAAGCCATTTGAATCATCAAGGCATCAAGAAAATGAAACATATCTCATGTTTTACTTATTTAGTTAGAGAAAAGTGTCATCTAGATGAGGTACAATTATTTTATTTTTGTTTATATGGACTTCTGATGGAAGCAAAGCCATGTGACCCCAACCAGAGGTGACGACAACCAGGCTTAATAACAAAAGTAAACAAGATTCATAAAATCACTGGTATTCATTTTAAAACTTGGCTTATTTTTCCAATTAGTTTTTTTACAAGGATTGTTAGTAATAGATTATTTGCTTGAGAAGTATTTTTCATGACGTTGGCTTAGAAAAGGTCATAGCTCTTTAGAAGCTTGGTTAATAATAACTGACTTGAAGAGGCTTTTTTTTAAGTAAAGTGCTGAAATATGTTACAGTGAGACAAGGGTATAAAAAGGTAGTCAATATATTTCACAGAACTAAGACTGCCTCTGACAGCACCATCATGGTATCTTGGTAGATGGAGAGGAGAAGAAAACATGGGTCATTTAATAAATATTGGGATAACTGACTCGATATAGATAGAAAATATATTGGACCCCAGCTTTACTATATCTGTGAAGCTCAGTGTGGGTTGAAGGCCTAAATGCAAACAGCAAAAATAGAGACATAGAACAAATACAGAAAAAAATAGGAATGCATCTTCATGAGCTCATAAATTTCTTAAACAAGGTCCAAATGAAGACAAAGGCAAAGTTAAGAGAGAAAAGACAGCCTTGGAAAAGATATTCACAATCATTTCTAAGTAATAAGAGATTCATATTTATACTAAAGAACTACAGCAAAGCAGGAAGAAGTAGCAGGAGTGATAGCAAATGCACAAAGCAATGCATAGATGAAATCCTCAGACATCTCCTGAGAGTATAAAAAGACATTCAAGCACAATAGTAATGAAAAGAAAACAAATTAAAACAAAGAGCTCCTTTACATCAATCAGCTTTGTCACAAATAGAAACACAGGTACCAGGATGCGGGGAACTGGGACCTCTAATGCATAGCTGGTGGTAAAGTAAACTGGTATAGGAATTTTGGAGAGTGGCTATGCAATTATTAGTGAAGTTAAATTCTATGACCTAACAATTCTACTACTGGCCCTCTAGTAATATTAATACTACACATGGACACATTTATAAGATACCCATGGTAGTATTTGTACAGAGTCAAAGGGCTGGGTGGGGGGCAAACTAAGCATTCACTTTTGTGCTGTTATTGTATATATTTACATGCATGTCTAAATAAGGATGCCAGAAAATTAATTTAAAATAAATATATTAAGTACACATAAGTCTGTGCCTATGAGACAGGGACAAACGATACCAGAATTGGTGGATGGTTGAAAAAAGGGGGGACAAGTTAAAATAAAACAAAATAAGGATCTTGCATGGACAGATGATAATGGTGTGGTGTCAGCCAAAAGTTGACAAAACAAAAACAAAATTCACCATTGGGATTTTTGTTCATGAGTCCCAAACCATGGCTCAACAGTGGGACATGGGCTGCAACTAGGCGTTCTTGTCTTCAGGACAGAGGTGGCACTCTCATTCCCCTCTTTTATTCATTAGAAAATGCCCAGAGGGCTATGTTTCATTGAGACAAAATAGACACATCAGTGTGTCCTTCAAAGGAAAGGAGCTGCTGAACTTCGTTGCATACAAAGTATTTAAACAAATGGGGACGCTAGAGATGGTTAGCCAGGAAGACAAAGCTTAGTCTTTTGCACGACTGGGAGCTTTATGTGGAGAAACGGGGAACTATTTAGTGTTGCTCTAGAGGGAATATTCGAACCAGAAAGAAGAGAAGAGCTAGAGAAGGCATATTTGTATGTATCTCTATTTGTATGTATGTCAGACAGAGGAAGAACTGTCTGACAATCACAGCCATGTAGAAACAGAAAGGGCTGAGAGCTTAGTGAACCACTGCACAGATCGTGCAGGAAGAGTCTAGAAAAATGTGGGGTACAGTCCAGGGGCATGTTGAATATCACATGGGAGGCTGGTCTAGATGAACTTCAAGCTGATTTATAGCCCTAAGATTCTAAGAGTCTATAATTGTATCATGCATCTATATATCTGTAACCACATATATATGTACTTATATATAATATACATATATAACTATATGTATATTTATATTTGTGTTTTATATTTATATATCTTTATATTTAAAATATAATGCATATAAATGTTATATAGGTGTATGAAGTACACAATTTTATTGAATTTATATATTTAAACAATTTACATGTGTTTTGAGTCAATGCATATAAAAGATCCTACCGCATGGTTCTGAATAATTGAGAGTTGTTATTTCTGACTTAAAATGTCATTATCACGGCATTATTTTTAGCACTGCCAAAGAGTTTTTCCCTGTGGTGTGTGCACAAACGTGTGTGTATTTGCAGATTAATTATGAATTAGACAGCAAAAGTGTTAGTAATTTGCTTGGCATTCTTTTCCCTTTCTTATCTCTACATAATTCTCTCCTTCTCTAAGTTTCCCATGTTCAGCAAGTGCAACAAGTATTATAAAACATAATTTATCTTGCAATTTTAACTAAATAAAAGAATTGTATTCTTATATGTTGATTTTGTATCCTGCAACTTTACTGAATTGGTTTATTACTTCTAATCCTTTTTGGTAGTGTCTTAGGGTTTTCTATATATATGGTCATGTCATTTGCAAACAAGTTAATTTCTTCCTTTCCAATTTGAATTATCTGAATGCCTTGTATTTCTTTCTCTTGCCTAATTGCTTTGGCTGAGACTTCCAGTGACATGTTGAATGGAAGTGGCAAGAGTGTGCATCTTTTTTTTTTTGTTCAGAATCTTAAGGAAAAGCTTCCAACTTGTCTCGAGTACAATGTTAGCTGTAGGTTTGTCATGTATGGCCTTTATTATGTTGAGGAACATTCCTTCTGTATCTAAATTGTTGAGAATATTTATCATGAAAGGATGTTAAATTTTGTCAAGTATTTTTCTACACCTATTGAAATAATCATATGATAAAGCTACAAGGCAAAAATCAGTAGTGTTTGTATACACTAATAGTGAACTATCTGAAAAAAATTAAAGAAAACAATCTCATTTACAATAGCTACAAAAACTAAAATACTTATGAATAAATTAACCAAGGAGGTGAAAGATCTCTACAGTGATAAGTATAAAACATTGGTGAAAGAAGTTGAGAAAGACAGAAATAAATGGAAACATAACTTGTGTTCATGGATGAGAAGAATTCATGTTGTTAAAATGCCCATCTTACCTGAAGTGACCTACAGAGTCAATGTACTTTCTACCAAAATACCAATGACATTTTTCACAGAAATAGAAAAAAAAATCCTAAAATTCCAATATAACCAAAAAAGAGCCAGAATAGCCAAAACAATCTTGAGGAAAAAGAACAAAGCTAGAGGCATCACACCACATGACTTCAAAATATACTACTGAGCTATAATAACCAAACAGCATTGTACTTCCATAAAATCATAGACCAATGGACCAGAATGGTAAATCCACACATTTACAGCAAACTGATTTTTAACAAAGGAGCCAAGAGCACACAATGGGGTCTTTTCAGTAAATGGTGTTGGGGAAACTAGATACCCACAAGCAGAAAAATGGAATTAGATCATTAACTTTAATTTATGATGTCTCTAATGCCATATACACAATTAAACTCAAACTGGATTTAAGACTTAAATGGAAGGGCCTAAACTATGACACTACTAGGAGAAAACATAGGGAAAAATCTCCTAACATTGCTCTGGGCAGTGACTTTTGGTTATTACCCCAAAAGCATGGACAACAAACGCAAAAATAGAACAATGGGATTACATCAAACTAAAAAAACTTCTGCACAGCAAAGGAATCAATCACCAGAGTGAATGAAGTGACAACCTATATATAGAAGGAAAGAATATATTTGCAAACCGTACATCTGATAAAAGGTTACTATCCAAAATATATAAAGGATTCAAACAATGCAATAGCAAGAAAACAACCTGATTTGAAAATAGGCAAATTGAATGAATATTAAAAAATGGGCAATGAACCTGAATAAACATTTCTCAAAAGAAGACATACATGGCTAACAGGTATATAAAAAATGCTCAACATCGCTAATTATCAGGGAAATGCAAACTAAAACCAAAATGAGGTTATCATCTCACACATGTTAGAATGGCTATTATAAAAAACATGAAAAAAACAAGCATCGGTGAACATGTGGAGAAAAGAGAAGCTTTGTACTGTATTGATAGGAATGCAAGTTATTATACTCACTATAGAAAATAGTATGGAGGTTCCTCAAAACATTAAAAATAGAACCACCATATTTTCTAGCAATCCCATTACTGGGTATACATGAAAAGGATATGAAATCAGTGTGTTGAAGAGATATCTACACTTCCATGTTCATTGTGGCATTGTTTACAATAGCCAAGATATGGATTCAAGTGGCTAAATGGTCACCAGCAGATGAATGGATTAAAAAATATATGGTATACATACACAATGGTTGCCAAAAAAAGGGACAAGTTAAAATAAAACAACTGTAATCCCTGCACTTTGGGAGGCCGAGGCAGGCAGATCACGAGGTCAAGAGATTGAGACCATCCTGGTCAATATGGCGAAGGCTTGTCTCCACTAAAAATACAAAAATTAGCTGGGCATAGTGGTGCACGCCTGTAGTCCCAGCTACTTGGGAGGCTGAGGCAGGAGAATCACTTGAACCCAGGAGGCAGAGGATGCAGTGAGCCGAGATCGCGCCACTGCACTCCAGCCTGGCCACAGAGTGAGACTCCGTCTCTAAATAAATAAATAAATAAATAAATAAATAAATAAATAAATAAATAATAAAAATAAAAAATAAAATAAGGACCTTCAGCCTTAAGACTATTCAACCTTAAGAAAGAGTGAGCTGTAGTCCTTTGTGACAATATGGATGAACCTGGAGAACATTATATTAAGTGAAATAAGCCAGGCACATAAAGGCAAATACCACATCATCTAACTCATATATGCAATCTAAAAAGGTTGATCTTATAGAAGTAGAAAGGAGAATGGTGGTTCCCAAGGGCTGGAGTTACTGGGGAGGTGTGTGTCAAAGGACACAAAATTTCAGGAGGAAAAGTCCAAGAGATCTATTGTACAACATGGTGACTGTAGCTAATAATTTATTGTATTCTTGAAAAATGTTTACAGTGAATGTAAAGTGTTCTTACCACAAACATGATAACTATGTGAGACAACCTATATGTTATTTGATCAGATTTAGTCATTCCACAATGGATATATATTTCAAAACATTATACTATACACAGGAAATACGTATCACTTTATTTAAAATGTAAATACATATTATTTTATTTACAATGTAAAAAATCATGTATATACATTTAAAATCAATATGTAATGTAATATATGCAATACATAACATATATTTATGCATATATTTATATATATCAAAATATATTTATTATATTATATGCATATATTTATATATAATAAATTATATATTTATTATATTATATGCATATATTTATATATAATAAATTATGCATATATTTATATATGTATTATATAATAAATATATATTATACATATATATATATATAGCATTCTTTCATAATGAAACCAATCTTACACATAGTCTTTTTTTCCCTCCAATTAGGGTAAAGTAATTTGAGATATCGCTTATAAAACACTTAATAAAATGCCATATTTTAAAGAAAGGTGTCTGCTTCGATTTCTAGAATAGAGGAATTTTAAGTCATTCCACCTCCAGGACAAACCTGTCTGAAGGAACCCATAGAAGCTGAGTCCTGCACTCAATTTTGATATCCTACCTCTCTTCTGCAGACACTTGAGAGCATAAACCCCCAGGGTAGCTGAGCCAATGCATCCATTTAAGTATATTGAAGCATGAGTGCTTTCTTGCGTCATTTAAAAAGGGAGGACAGTGAAAGTTCCCACTTCATTAGCTTTCTTTTCTCACATTAGGGTATTAAATTAAAAAGAGAGTATAAATTCTCATTTTAAATAATAAATTAACATAAAAGGATTATACATTTAATACGTTACCATTCTATTTTTCCCCAGGTCTATATTTCTCGTGTATTATTCATAATAGAAGCTCTGCAATTCCCAAGTCGTTGTTGAAAAATAAATATGAAAATATGTGGATGACTGCAGTGTATGGCCACACACAAAAGACCCCAGCAAACTGGAGCTTAAGTTAACCATTGCTCCACTTTAATGAGGAACTAAAATGGAAAAATAAACTCAAAATGCTGTCCTTTCCATAAACAATATTGCAAGTAACTCCAGTATCTAGAGAGATAGTAGGAGAAAGTGGAAGAAAGTGACAGATTAAGAATGAAAGACCTTTCCTTGCCAACAGAGTTGGGTTTGGAATTCAGTGGAAGCTGATAGTGCCAAGGTTGGAACAGCTAATGAGCAAATGTCTGAAAGCAGGAGTGGGGAAACTGCCAAGGCTGTTTCTGTGCACAAAGCTGTCCCTCCACCTAGGCGAGATGACATTTGTTCCCAGCCTTTGAAGAATGATGTCATTAGAAGACGGCATCCCCGGCCGCTCACCTCGAGTGGAAGGCGAGCAGACACACTCACAGCATTATTTTTAACTCAGCATTCATTTCCCCACTTGCACCAACAGCAATACAGCAAGACATTACGGTGACAGACGAGACACAGCACAGGACAAAAAGCTGCAGGGAAGCAGGATTTTAACGTCAAAATGTGCAGAACAGTGTCCCTGTTGGGCTACAGTACACAAAGTACCACCAACACAAGAGCTGAAAACCCTGGCAGTGACATCTAATTCTCCCTTCAATTTGAAGGAGGACATGGTAAAAAAATGCTGGTACATTAAAATGAGAAATCGCCACAAATATAGAAATGGAATGAAATATGTAAAAGCGAATGTTTCTGTTGTTCTCTGCATTCCTAGCATGGCCATTTCATCTCACTATTGGCAAACATTCACTTTTAAAAATCCTCATAAAATATGACTCTGAAAGCTTGGTGCTTCTTAGACATTTATTTACCTGTGATTTTAACTACCCTTCTCTATGAATTTTAGTTTGCTTTCCTGTCTATTTTTTTAAATCCCCATGGTCTGAAGCCAGAATGGTGATCCACAGGCACTTAAGACCAACCCCGCCATCCAAAGGCTTTCGCCAAGACACTCAGGTGCCACATCGCTCCTCTCAGCCTCTCCATCTCCCAAGCAAGAGCTTCTGGAGTCCTTTCTTGTTCTGACCTGCCCTCTTTCACCAAATCCATTCTCTCCTTTTCCTCTCTCCAATTTAACAAATGCTATCTCTCTTAAATTAGTCCCTCAATATCTTTTGCCCTACATTTTAACATGTTGTCTGTCTTGACTTTTTAAATAGCTTTATTCCTGGGTTCTTTGTATTCATTTCTCCCCACTCCTACCCTGGCTTCCCGCTGCAATACGAATTATTCTTCTGAGAGTCACCACGGGTTGTGTTGGAATCAAAACATCTGCGTTTGAGTCTTGAATGTATTACTGGGTGACTGTGCGCAGCCTCATCTCTCTTCTATTCTTTCCCTGATTATGCTTTATCTACGTTACAGAGTCACTGTATTAATTAAGGTGACACAGATGAAAGTGTTTTGTAAACTATAAAGTTTTATATAAATATAAATAAAAGGTGACATTTTTATCCAGCAGCCAATTAACTTTCCTGGCAGTGTTGATCCCCAGCAATTAGAACACGCAATTAAGCACCGTTCAAGTTCAATGTGGCACCTAAAATGGGAAAGACAAAGCTTGAAAATGTGTTAAATATAAAACTGCTTGTTAAGTTGAAATGAAGTGAAAGAAGGGACTTTGACTTTTACTTCTGCCTATATGTTTGAAGGCAGCAAACTTGCACTTCTGGATAGTTACATATATTTCAGAACTGCTTAAGCTTCAACCACCATCAATAATAAGCATATTATTTATATCAATCTTTGAAATAAAAAAAATTGCAGGCATATGCTCCAAAATAAGCAAAGGGTTATGACTATTGCCAGGAAAAGACATGATGAAAAAATAGTATTGTTTCCAAATATCATCTAAACACATATGCACACACTTTCCGCTATATCCAGTATTTAAAACGAACCTCCTGGGGACAAGATAACAATAATTTGGTTTCCCTGTTAGCAGCATTATTGCCGGGATCAAGTGGGCCACTTCCACTTCCCAAGGAAGCCAATTTTTAAGGCTTCAGGTTTGCTCTTCCAAAATTAGCTGGCTGAAATATTCACTGTGTGGTCTCCCAGGAAAAGTAGTGGAGCTGCATTTACATGAACAAAATAAGAAAGTCTCTTTCAATCCTAATCCACAGGGAAAGCCAAAATTCTAAGTCTTTTCCTAAAATTTAGCTAATTTCTTATCTCCCTCCCCTAATACTTGGTAACTGAAAATAGTAAAGGTTAATTTTTAAAAAGCCTTGATAAACTACAATCCTGACCATTGGAGTATAATTTACTTTATATATTAATATTTCATTTAAAAACATTTTACTGATCGATCGATTGATTGATTGAGACAGAGTCTTCCCTGTCACCCAGGATGGAGTGCAGTGGTGCTATCTTGGCTCACTGCAAACTCCGCCTCCTGGGTTCAAGCCATCCTCCCTCCTCAGCCACCTGAGTATCTAGGATTACAGGTGTGTGCCACCATGCCTGGC
This sequence comes from Homo sapiens, assembly GCF_000001405.40. Taxonomy (NCBI): domain Eukaryota; kingdom Metazoa; phylum Chordata; class Mammalia; order Primates; family Hominidae; genus Homo; species Homo sapiens. Next base: position 473,183 of record NW_025791814.1, read on the forward strand.
TAATTTTTGTATTTTTAGTAGAGACCAGGTTTTGCCACGTTGGCCAGGCTGATCTCAAACTCCTGGCCTCAAGTGATCCTCCTGCCTCGGTCTCCCAAAGTGCTGAGGTTAAAATATTTTAAAATGTAAACTTAAATGTTCAGAAGTCATTTTATTTAAGACCCTTCTAAGTTCTGAGTAAAGGCTAAGATTGCGAATGGTGTAAAACTGTTACTGTGTTTTGGAAGTAGTTCACCACAGTCTTGCACTCCTGGCCTCAAGCCATTCTTCTGCCTGAGTCTCCGGAGTAGCTGGAGCTACAGGTGCGTACCACATCACACCTAGGCCTCCCAAGTAGCTGGGATTACAGCAGTGAGCCTCTGCACCTGGCTGCTTAAGCAAAGGTAATTTGGGTTCTCGCACCTTGCAACCAATGGGGTCATAGTCAATACATGGATCTGTGCCAATCTGGGAAATCTAAAAATAGGTAAACTTACATTTCAAACAGTCCTTGTTTGAATTTTTGTCAGACTTTATTTTCAGATATTTGGTGAAGGGTTCTAATGTGAGCCTGACTGGGGGCTGGGGAAGCCTGTACATATGAAGTTAAAATCTGCGGTGTAGTGCACAAAGTCCCCTGAGGGTCCTGTTCAGGCCTTGGTGTTGAACATCATCTATTCACTGATGTCACCAGATCTGCAGCCTGGATTCCTGAACTCTACTCTCCCATATCTAATTTCCTACTGACAGCATCCACTTCTTTGTTTAGTGTGTATTTCAACCTCAACACATCGATAACTAGACTCCTAATCGCCTTCCTCAAACGGCTCCACTGCATCTTCTGCTGACTCAGTAGAAAGCAATGCCATTCTTCCTGATATTCAGGCCAGAAGCCTGACCTGATCCTTGATGTCTTTATTTTCCTCACACCTGTATCCAACCACTAGGAAAACCGACTGAATAGACCTTCGAAATAGATCCGGAGTCTGTCTTCTACCCCCAACCTCCTCTGCTCTCCCCCTGGTCCAAGCCACCATCATCTCTCACCTGGATTCACTTTCCAACAGGTCATTCTACTTGCCCCCTTTCCCCGAATAGACCATTCTCAGCACAGGAATCAGATGCGTCCTTCTTCTTTTTAGAGATGGGGTCTCACTATGTTGCCCAGGCTGGAGTGCAGTGTCTATTCACAGGTGCAAATATAGTGCACCACAACCACAACCTCAAACTACTAGACTGGAAGTATTCTCCTGTCTCAGCCTCTGGAGTATCTGGGACTACGGGCTCGTCCCACCTTGCCTGGCTAAAAGCATCCTTTTAAAACCTTAGTCTGGCCATGTGACTTTTCTGTTTAAAGTCATCCAATAAAGCCCCCATCTCACTCAGCAGAAAACCCCACGTCCTGAAAACCGAAGTCCTGATCTAGTAAGTCCCCCGTGAAAAGGTTCTGCTCCTTCTGACTCAGGGCCTTTTAGTGTTTTCTTGTTCACTTGGCTCCCACCACACCAGCCTCTCTGTTATTCCTCAAGCTTGCCAGGCAAACTCTAGACACCGTGGTTGTATCTCTTCCCTTTACCTAGGATGTCCCTTCCCCAGGTATCCATGAGCTGTCTTGAACCCCTTCACATCTTTGCTCAAAATCTCACTTTTTCCAGGCAGCTTTTCCCGACTATTCTGAAAAATTTGGCAAGCCCCAAATCCCAACAACTGCCATTTCTCTCCAGGCAATAAAATACCACATAAAATAATATTTTCCTTCTTTTGTTTGCAAGTACTTGCAAAGGAGCTGACAAGTTTTATACTATATGATAAGTATTCAGAAGAAAAGAAGCTCCTGAAGAAAAAATTATTCAATAGAATTATTTCCTAAAATCATAAATATATTGTTTATAAGAGACAATAAATTATTCTTTTGGCCATAAGCTAGTTTGAGTTGGTTTCTGTCACTTCAAAAGGATTAAGATGAATACATTCATTTATACTGATCTGGCAAATTTAAAGAATAAATGTTAATGATTCAAAGGGCTTTCGTTTAAATCTATGTCTCCTAAAAATTACATTAAAGTATTATACCTATTTATCCAATGGTCATACTTCTGGAAATTTTTCTCGAAAGAAATAATCTTAAAATCAGACAAAGGCCAATGCATAAAGAAGTTCATTTGATGCCTCATTTGTAATGGTCAAACATTAAAAATAAACTAAAATTTTAGCACTGTATTAGATGTTTTCAAAATGTAGCTCACAGACCTGTAGGGATCCCTGAGACAATTTTAGGTGATCTGTAAGAAGAAAATCGTTTTCATGACAATGCTGAGGTGCTGTTTGCCTTTCTCATGGTGTTGACATTTGCACTGTTGGAGCAAAAGCCATGGTGGGTGAGACTGCTGGGCGTTACCATGAATCCCAGCAGGGACACTAACAGGATGACTATTCATTGTACTGTTTACCGATGCATACTGTGAGTTGGTTTTTTAAAAATGCCAGATTCACTTACAGACACTTGACGAAGCAGGAAACATAACAGTTTTATTACATCTTTACCCTAAAGCTCACGTTATTTTTAATGTTCTATGTCCTGTGTAATAAAATGGGAAGAAGGCACAGTGTTTCCTCCACCTCCTGAGCAGCACGGCTATTTTCAAGCAGAGTATGTCTGTGCTTGCTTGAGTTGCAAATTCGACCAGCTGCTTTTCTTCATGGAATTCCATTTCTTTCTTAAAAGAATGGCTACCTAAAAACGATGGTTATGCGGTCTTTTCTATTTGTCAAACAATTTCTTACAGATAAATGAGCCCATCACTCCTACAATTACAATTGATGGTGTTTATTATAAATAATAAAATTGAATCTTTCAAGAAAGAATAGAATTTTAGAAAACTTGCATCCATCAGCATGAACTTGACAGTTTACTTGAAGACTTTCTGATGAGATCATGGTAATGTTAGTAGTTGTGATATTTTGATATTGTATAACAAATTGTATCAACATTTGGAAGATCTGTGTAACACAGTGAACCAATCATTTCCAAATGATCAACTTTTTATGTTACAAAATCATGTGTGGGTAAAACATTCCTTCCAAGGGTATGATAGACCAATGAATTTTAAGATGACAGAGTACAGAAAATGTGTTGATATGGCATCTGACTATTGCAATGAACCATTAAGATACTGCCATGTTTTAATTCTCTGCATAGTATGGAGTACCATTAGGTGTTTTCTGGTTTATTCACTTGTTTTATTTGTTTATTGTTTGTCTCTCCTGACTGAGAAGAGAGTCAATGAAGGAAAGGACCTTGCAGACCTTTTTCATTGTTGTATTCCTCAGTGTCTAGAGTAGTGCCTGGCATGAAGCAGATGTTCTGTAAATGAGGATTAAATAAATAAACACAACCACCAAATGAACCTTTATGCAGCCTGGTTTACCAAGAATATCTAGTGATTTGAGGAAATTCTCAAGACATATGGTTATTAAAAACCGATTTATAATTATGTGCAGGCATATCTAATATACAATGCACAATACATATTCTATAATATATAATGTAATGCAATATATATGCCCCGTAATAATAGTATACACATATTATTATTTCCATGTGTGTGTGTCTGTATGCGTTCTCACAAAAGTAAAACTCACAGGGTTGGTGGGAAAAGAAGCTTGGGGAAGACCACAGGAAACCTATGCAACTTTGTAACAAGGGCAACTAAAAGCCACTTATTGGTTCCTGGAGAGAGAACTTGGACACCTCAGACAGGCAGCTCAATGTGGCTAGAAGCAACACCCACAGGTTTCGGAAATAGTTTTATAACATATTAGTTCTATTCCTAGGACCCACCTCAGGTAGATTCCTTACATAATTAAAACAATTTTATTTCATATTCAGCTCAGGAAACTGACTTGTAGAATAGAAGAAATGAGTCTTTCTGAGGCTCTGCCACTAAAAGTCTGCGTATCCTTGGATGAGTCTGATCACCTTATTGTTTTTTTCTGGTAAGGAGATTGTAGTCAATTCAAATTGCAGGATCTCTAAAGATCATCCTGACAGGTAGATTCCATGACAGTCCATGTCATGATGCAAAGAATAATTTAATGAGGAAAACGTTCTGTGGCATCCTTTAAACATATAATTTCTATGTTGTTGCTTTGACCTGCTCATCTACAGAAGATAAGACGTTTGTTTGAAATCCTCATCCAATACAGAAAATCCCTTCCAGTGAAGTTCTAAGAGACCTTGCTTTTAGGAGGTTTTAGGAAAAGAAGGTTATTTATTTAAAAATTATCTGAGAGATGACTAGATAATGAAGCTAATGATGTGCTCCTTTTTTTTCTGTTGTATTGTTAACAACACATGCCCTCTGGAAAACCAAGCCAAAATTCCACCTGGAGAGAAAATCAGATCAACTAAAGTTCCTGTGAAGATTCAGTCAGTAGTAAAGAGGACATCTCATGTTCCCTGTCATTCTTCAGCCTGTACAATTATCCTGCTCTAAATAAGCAGATCTTGGATTACCCGACTTCAAATCATTGGTCTGGGAAGTAGTCGGGCTATGGAATGAGTTGTGTGGGAACCAGGAGAACAGGGCTTACCTTTCACGGTCACGTGGACGCTCTGGCTGGTGGAGAGTTGTGGTTGAACCAACACGTTGCACGTGTACTCCCCCTCGTCCACTTCCTTTTGCACATCTGAAAGTTTAAGAGTTCCATTGTTCTCAAATGCCACTTGGCGGTGGTTGAAAGGAAGCAGGTTAGAGTTCTTGTACCATTTAATGGAGTAATACGGATAGCCAATCACACGACAGTGAATGTATGTGTCCCGTCCTGCTATTGCTGTGATGTTTTTCATTGGTCGAATGCTTGCAGGCCCTGGAGAGACACAAAGAAACTCTTGAAAATAATTTAAGGGTACATCTCATGTAGGGAAATGGGTACACTTTTCCTTGAGTTAAAAATGTAGATTATATTCATGTAAGCACATCTTTTTCAGTTAAACAAATATTTTTGCATGTGGCATTTTCTACAACAAAGGTTTTTCTTTCCTTTTCTTAAATTCAAATGTATAACTGTGAAACACTTTATCTGCTACTTCTATGAAAATGTTTTGAATTAAAAATTACAAGATAAAAGGCAATTTAATTAATAGAAAGTAACTAGTCTATACTGGACAATCACGCACTTTTGGTGAACACACTGGCAGCAATTGATCAATTGTTTAACTCTCTCTGTAAAATCTAGGACGACAATGGAGGTTACATCACGTTGCAGCATGAATGTAAGTTTAATACCATGTACATGAAGGTTTACCATGAATGTGGAAGAACCGAAGAGAAGGAGAAGGGAAAGGGCATGCAGAGCATAAACCAGGAAAGGAAACATCAGGTGAACAGATCTAGAGTAAAAAAGAACAAGCTGACTACAGAAACCAAAATGCCATTTCCAACATTAACCCAGTCAGTGCCATTCCTGAGTAGGAAGGAGAGGGTAGGAAATGGGAAGCAACAGTTAATCCGCTCTGGCATTCCAAGACCCAGCTCGGTGCATGCAGAAATCTTCTTCTCCACTATAATGAGTTATGTGTGTTTTTTTGAGGAGCTGATTTGACAAGCACCTCTTACGTTTATTCGAGCCTGGTACAGGACGACTCCCGCCGAGTTGTTGGCAGTGCAGCGGTAGACTCCCCCGTCCCGGACCTGGGAGCTGGAGATGTTCAGGTAGCTGACCACGTTCCCCTCCGACGTGATCATCTGGCTGATGCGGTGACTGCCACCCTTGAGAATCGGGTCATCGTCCAGGGTCCACGTGATCGTGGGCAAAGGTGTTCCCTTCACGTTGCACATAAGGGAAACCGGCTCTGCTGGACTCACCACCTTTTCACTAAAGGCAGAAATAATTTTGGGAGTTCCATCTGCAGGAAAACAAATTATGGAAGAAAGTGGCACATACAAATAATTAAACAACTTCCAAGTATATGTCTTTCATGTCTAGGGGGTAAATGTCGTAGTTGTTAAACATTACCAAAAAGGTCTGGTTTTCCTGATAAAGCAAAACGTTAATCAGAACAAGAGTTCACTGTTTTCAAAACAGGTAAGCACAGTGTTAGCAAGCTTTCATCAACTGTTTCTATATTTCCTGATTGACTTAAGAGGAATGGTAATACAACTCAGATGTTCAGGTTAAACAATGACAGCTCCTAAGAAGTCCTTAATTTAAAACTGGTGTTTCCTCACACAAAGTTATAAACAGACGGAAAATCCACACCCGCTCACTCCCACAAACAGTCACTTTATCTGTTAGGTTGGTGCAAAAGTGATTGCAAAAAGTAATGGCAAAAACAGCAATTACTTTTGCACCAACCTAATACTTCCTCAAGTTATTTGGGGTTTTCTCACTAGGGAATTCTTTACAGGAATAAAGGAAACTACTGAGAGATTGATGACCTCATCTTCATCATTTTCTCATAAGAAATCCTCTTTTAATAACTTTAATTACAAATAGTAATTGCATGCAAACTTCCATGAAGTCTCTGAGAATGGGTAGAAGCTAAATAAAGTTTGTATTAAATGCCGTGTATTAAAAACCTCTAAAGATATCTTAAGTAGGGTACTTAAGCATGTTTTAAATCTCTCTAAAAGTATCTTAAGTAGGCTGGCCATATAATTTAACATCCAACCTGGGACACTTTTGAGGCTGAAACAGAAAGGACTAATAATTATGCCAAGAGAACAGGCATGACCCAGAACTATCGCAGGCAAACTAGGATCTTAATCTTAGAGAAGTCTCCATAGAAATTTTCAGTATGTTTACATAGATCAAATTTTCATATTCCATTATTTTTCTATCATCCATATGGTTTTTTCTCTTATATAGTAATAGTTACAAATGCATGTTTCTTTTATATATGTTTTTCCATTTATAAAAAGAAATACATGCATATTAAAGGAAATGTATGAAAATCAGAAGAAAAGTTACCAATAGGTCAGCCAGCCTCAGGCATACAAATCAACACTGTGACACATTTTTTCTAGGCATAAGTGGGTCATTTTGACATAATTGCAATCACATGCCACAGGATTTCTGAGTCTGGTAAGAGACCTTGCTGGAGGGGACATCTTTTGTTTTTTAAAAGAATTTTTGTGTTCAATTAAAGGGTTGTCCCATAATGAAAGATAAGAATGAGTAGATTTTTTTTAGTTTTTGATTTTATTATAAAAGTAATGAATCTCCATTGTTGAATATCTTTTTTGTTGAAAATTGGAAAGTATTATAAACAAAAAGAAAGGAGGCAAGCAAAATTAGGATAGCTTGCAATTCCATCAGGGAAAGGTGACAGTTAATGGTTAATAGTACCAGACACCTTTGAGGAAAGTGCCACTCATTCCCCCAGAACCTTGGGGCCTAGTTCTTGGTCAGGGAGGCCAGTTATGTAGGGTCTTCATGGTGATGGGGCTGTGCTGCAGCTCTTCCCTCCACCCCCTACTCCTTTCCAAATTCCTGAATCTCACTTCTTCATTCCAGCTCATGTTTCAGGTGGCTGGAGAAGTCCCTGGAGTTTGTTTCCTCCAGGCTATGCTCATAAGTAGCATATTGCAGTGTCCTTGGGTTGTAAGCATTTTGTCTCTTACTATCAGAGATGAAAAAGACAACTTTAAAATATTAAAATGAAAAATTGATGCTTTTGTCTTTAACGCACTGCAGACGTTGCCTCATCACATCCTGTGTTTAATTTTACAGAGAAGTTAGATGTCATCATGATTGCTATTCATTGTCCATGATCAGTCATTAATACTTAGGAGTACTGGAGTTATTTCACGTGTCCTTTATAATTCCATGGTTTTTGTAAAATGTGTTTAGCTGTAGATTTCTTTTCACTGGTTTTTACATTAAGCTCTGAAAACTCAAGTGTTTAGAAAAATGTTCTTCAGTTATACTTCTCTTTTTGTAGGTAAATTTTACATACAGTGAAATATACAGATCTTAAGTGTACAGCTTAGTTTTGCTAAATATATACACACCAGAGTAACCACAAAAACGATCAAGATATAAAACATTTCCATTACCAAAATTCCTTAAGTGCTCCTTTCAATAAATCCACATCCAACAGAGATCACTGCTCTGATTCCTCTTAGGATGTGCTGGTTTTGCCTGTGCTTGAGCTTAGAAGAAACATAATAATAGAGTATGCACGCTTTATATGTGCATATATATCATCATAATCAGAGTACACTTAGAATATAATTAGAAGATGTAACTTTGGAACAGTACTATTATCTAACTCACTGTCCACAGCAAAATTCTGTCCATTGACCGCTAATATCCCTCGTCACTGTTTTTTTTCCAGAGCAGTCCGTATCACCCATTATTTATGTTTCATGTCATTTCAGCCTCTTTTCATCTGGAACATTCTTCAGCCTCTTTTGTGTTTCTTGACTTTTACATTTTTGAAGAGTAATTTTGTAGTCAGTTGCTGAAATTGGGTTTGTCTCATATTTCCTCATGACTAAACGCAGGTTGTATATTTTTCCCAGAAATACCGTGGAAGGCACGTGTTTTATGTGCCTATTGGCCATCCGTGTGTTTCCTTTAGTGGGTGTCTGCTCAAATCTTTGGCCATTGTTATATTAGACTGTTTGCCTTTTTGTTTTTGATTTGTTGTGGAATACAACAATTGAAATACAAGGAAATATATATATAGTATCTATGTCAGATATCTTATAATGATCTGATACATTTGTAAGATTCCTATAGAGATTATATATAATATCTGTCAACATATATATGACACATATATTTGTGTGTGTATAAAATATTTTATCCCAGTCTGTGGTTGCCTTTTTCTTTTCTTAATAATGTATTTGTGTTGACATTTAATGCTTTCTGTGTCCTAAGAAATCGTCACCTATTCGCAAATCATGAAGAATTATTCTGTTTTCTTTTGGAGACTGTGTTGCTTTATACTTTATATTCAATTCTATACGGATAGCAACTTAATTTTGTGTGGATATGAAGTGTGATGTAGGGATTAATACTCATTTTTTTGCCATACATTTATTGAGTTGTTTCAGTGTTAATTTGTTGAAAAGGTACATATAGTATGTGTATATGTGTGTGTGTGTGTGTATATATATATATATATATATATTTTTTTTTTTTTTTTGAGACAGTGTCTCTCTCCCTCTGTTGTCCTTGGTGTGGCACAATCTCCCAAGTAGCTGGGACTGCAGGTGCACACCACGCCTTTTTTTTTTTTTTTTTTTTTTGTAGAGACAAAGTTTTGCCATGTTTCCCAGGCTGGCCTCAAACTCCTGGGCTAAGGGCCTCAGCCTCCCAAAGGGCTAGGATTACAGGCACAAGCCACCATGCCTCAGTTTTGCTTGAAATCACATTAATCGTTTTAGAGAGAATTGTTAACTTAGGAATATTTAGTTTTCTAATCCTTGAATATGGTATATCTTTTCAATTTTTTAGGTTATTTCAATTTTATATTAGCAGAGTTTTGTATTTTTGTATGTTGAAATCTTTCACGTTTGTTTAAAATATATTCCTATCTTATGTTTTATGTTATTGTAAATGAAAGTTTCAAAATATTAGTTTCCAATTGTTTGTTCTGAGTATATAGAAATAAAATTGCATTTTGTGTATCATTCTTATATCCAATGACTTTTTAAACTCTCTTTTAGAAATTGCTTTATTGTTTTCTTGGCATATTCTTTGTAAACAACAATGCCTGTAATTAAGACAGCTGAAATTTTTCCTTTCCAAACTCCATCCATTTTATTTCTACTCAAGCCTAACTAGGGCTGCTAGTATAATGTTGAATGGAAGTGGTGGATGTGGGCATCCTTGATTTGGTCTCAATCTTAAATGAAAAACATTTAGTGTTTAACCAGGAAGTATGATTTTAGCTGTAGATTGTTCAGGATGCCACTCATTAGGTCAAGGAAGCTCTCTAGAGTCTCAGTTTGCTAGAAATTCTTTATGCTGAATGGATGCAAGTTTCATCAAATGATTTTTTCTGTATATATTGAGATAATCAATTGGATTTGCTCCCTTATTCTATTAACATAGTGACTTACACGGATTAGATTTTTAATGTTCTTCCAATCTTGCATTATAAGATAAGCTCCAATTGATTTACACACACACACACACAATCTATATGTATATCAATGTGTGTGTATATGTTTTAAATTATCTCTGCTAAAAGTTAAGATTGCAGTACTTTATGTGAAATGTAAGAACCCTGCAACAAATAATTCTGCCCTTTGTGTTATTACATCTATTATATTTACTCTATAATAAAGTGTTATTTTATTTTACTTTATTTTATTTATTATTATTTTATTTCATTTTATTTTATTTTTTATTTTATTATTTTATTTCATTTTATTTATTTTATTTTATTTTATTTTTAGAGATGGAGTCTCACTCTGTCACCCAGGCTGGAGTGCAGTAGCAGGATCTCGGCTCACTGCAACCTCCACCTCCTGGGTTCAAGCTGTTCTCCTGCCTCTGCCTGTAGCTGGGATTACAGGCACATGCCACCACACCTGGCTAGTTTTTGTATTTTTAGCAGAGACAGGATTTTGCCATGTTGGCCAGGCTGGTCTCAAACTCCTGACCTCGAGTGAGCCGCCTGTCTCGGCTTCCTAAAATGCTGGGATTACAGGCGTGAGCGACAGCACATGGCCAAGTGTGGTAATTTTATAATGTTATAATCATCAATTGTTTAAAGAAATTAAAAAAGAAAACACAATTTTGCTAAATATTTACTAATATATTTACCATTTCTCATGGTATTTGTTCTTATAGATATGTCTCCATTTTATGTTCCATTTCTGTTCCATGTTATCTATATCCTGTAGATATAAATGTCCATTCTCTATATCCGGCATGACTTCATTTATCATTTATTAATGTGCAGGGCTGCTGACATTATATTCTTTCACCTCTTTATTACTGAAAATATCTTTATTTTTCCTTAATTTTTAAAGCCTGTTGTTGTTGGGTTTTTTGCTACAGAAGTCTGCGTTGGCAGGGCTGTGTCTTTGTTTTTCGTTTTCTTTTCAACATTTTAAAGATGTTGCTCCATTGTCTCCTGTCCTCCAAAATATCCGATGAATCATCTACCATTTGTTATTGATGTCCTCATTATGTAATATTTTTCCTCCCTCAGATTTTTAAGTTTTTCTCTTTATCTTCGGTTTTCAGCAGCTTAACTCTGATGTACTGACATAGAATTTTCTTTGTGTTTATTTTTGGAGTTTGCTGAGTTTCTTAGATCTGCAACCTTACTTTTATACCAAAGTCGATAAAACTAAGGTCATTATCTCTGAATACTTTTTTCTTCTGCATTCCGTATCTCCTATTTTTCTGGGCCTCTAGTCATATGTGTGTGTCACGTTATCTGATGATGTCCTACTTGTCACTGAAGCTCTAATCATTTTCTTTGCAGTCTTCTTTCTCTCCATGCTTCAGATTGAATAATTTTCTAAGATTTATCTTCAAGTTCACTGATACTTTCTTCTTCCTTCTCTAATCTTGTATTAAACAAATATGGTGATTTTTTTTCATTTCTACAGACTGTTTTCTACAGTTTCAATTTCTCTGTTGGTCTTTCCCATACGTTCACTCTTTCAGTCCATATTTTCCTGTAAGTTATTGAACATATTTTAAATAGCATCTGTAAAGTCCTTGTTTGCCAGTTCTAACATCTGGGTCCTCTCATGATTTGTTTCTATCGTTTGCTTTGTCTTTTGTCCTTTGGGTGCAGAGTCCTGTTTTTTGTATGTCTCATTTTTATTGCACATTTGTATTCTCACTCCCCATTTTTGGAGTTCAGATGTGTCCTCAGTGGAAGAGGACACTCCCCAACTTGATTTTGGTGTCTCTCAAATGTCTATATATACTTTTGCTTTTCCCAAAGTTTCTTGTTTTTATCATCTTGGGAGTTAGGCTGATATATGCTATTTTACCATTCCCAGAACTGGAAACTTTTATTATTCTTTTTTAAAATCATTCCATTTTTCAGGTATTATGGTTTTATCCTGAACTTATAATTATTAAATTCCATTTTATAGCCTCATAGGAAATATTCTCAGATTCTCCATTGTATCTATCCTCAGTCCTAGTTCACAGTATTGCAAATTTTTATAATTTTACTTTAATCCATCGCTATTTCAGTGAGAATAATGGGAGTGTTTTTGTTTTCCAGAGGAAATTAGCCAGACACTCTTTTAAAGCAGGTACTAGATATGTATTTGTAATTCCATTTCTGCTTTCTTTGCTACATTAGCACTGTCATCTCTCAGAAGAGAGAAAAAAAAAAGTGAAGCTTCTTGTCCTGAATGGAAGCTGACATGCGACAAATAAATCTGCGAGTGTGCTGGCGGTGCGCCTCGGCCCCCTTTTTAGTTCAAGTGACAGGCTCTTTTGGAGATGAAAGCAGACATTATTTTCCCAGGGAGACCTGAGTGTCTTTGAAATCTTTCTTGCTGTCACTCTGATAACCTGAACTCTTCTGACATCGTTATGGATCATCAATATGGTCTTTAGGTTTTCTTAGTTGCACCAAATGGTTGCCGGGGTAACTGGGCCTAGACAGGTAATTTCTCCTTTTTCTACAAAGAATCTAAAAATAGTGACTATGTAAGGACTAGAGTGCATCATCATTAGCAAACTGGTTCTGCACAAATTGATTACTTTCTGCACTTAATTATTATACGGAACACAGTGTCAGGCATTTAATATGAATACCATGCCTTCAGCTAATTTCACCTCTGCTTTAAAAATCTCACTGTCTGCAATGAAACGATTGAATCAAAATAGGAATCTCATTGCTAAACCTGCTACTTCTTAAAAAATTAGCTAAGGTTAAAAAAGAATGACAGAAATATGGTCTTATAATCAAGATATATTTAAACTTACTTTCACATATTAGTGTGTTTTCTTTGTACTCCCTTTAGGCTATATCAAAATCATTTTATTATTTTAATCAATTGATATCAGATGAATTTTAAATTATATATGGACATAATTTCCAACAAGACACACAAATACATAGATAGAAGCTAGTTCAATCAGGTAGTGATAAATATATGTTGCCTGTGATAGCTTCTTTCTCTGGCTGACTGATAAGCTTTAAGATTTAGTATGCAGTAACCAGTTAAAAAAAAGCAAATCGTATCACATATCCAAAACCTGTTATTATACCACAAAATAATTCCTCACAAATTTCATTTACTTAAATCTGAGAACATTTGGATGGAACTAGGGACAACTGCACCAAACAGATGCCATATTTTCATTCTACCAACCACTGTACTGACATTTTGCTCTGCATTTTCAATCTGAAGTTGTACTTCTCCACTGGAGGCTATTGCCCCCACCCCACCCAGCAAACACCTGGCAATGTCTGGAGACATTTTTGGTTGTAACAACTTGGAGGAAGGTGCTCCTAGCATACATCTAGTGGAAAGGGGCCAGAGATGCTGCCAAAGATCCTATAACACATAAAAAAGTTTCCCAAGATGCCTGTAATCCCAGCACTTTGGGGGGCCGAGGCGGGCAGATCACCTGGTCAGAAATTGGAGACCAGCCTGACCAACATGGAGAAACCCCATCTCTACTAAAAATACAAAATTAGCCAGGTGTGGTGGTGCATGCCTGTAATCCCAGCTACTCGGGAGGCTGAGGCAGGAGAATTGCTTGAACCCGGGAGGCAGAGGTTGTGATGAGCTGAGACTGTGCCACTGCACTCCAGCCTGGGCAGCAAGTGTGAAACTCCATCTCAAAAAAAAAAAAAAAAAAATTCCCCAAGCAAGGCATTCTTGAAAGACCCTGGTCTAGAGATGAATAATCAACAAAACTGTTAAGTGTCAAGTTTCTTCTAAGATTTAAACCCTGGCAGATAACTTCTAATGCACAAGTGGGCAACATTTATGTTACTTTACATTACTTCTAATATGAAACAATTTTATTTTCGTCAGAACTTTCTCTCCCATTTGCCTGATTTAGCTTGAAAAATTAGGGTAGAGTACTAGCTGGTGAGACAGAGAGCCTAGAACTGAGCGATCAGCACTGCTTCACCCTGTCTTCTTCTTTTCTGAGTGCTCTGGGTTTGGGTTCTTTTTCAGCCATACCCTGAAACGAGGCCCACTGACCTTCAAGGACCACCTGCACATAGTCTTGAGCGGACAGCTTGTCCTTGCGCACAAAGCACTGGTATGCGCCCCCGTCACTTTTGACCATGTGATCCATTATAAGGTTTTCGTGGTTGATCCCTGTGATCCTCACATTTTTTCCAGGGTTGAGGATTTCACCATTGCGGTACCAGGAGAGTTCCTGGTCCTCAGTTCCTGTCACGCTGCAGGACAAGGAAACTTGGCTACCCACGCTGCTTTTAACCTTCCTGGGACTGATGGTGGCTTTCAGTGGCTCTGGAGGTTTTAGTAAGAGAGAGAGAAAAAAGATAAAAACATCACTAGATAGCATTTCGACAACAGGCTGGACTTTCAACAAAGCAAGTGCATCACGCAATCATACTCCACACAGTTCCCATCAGCCACATTATTGCAATCATACTCCACACAGTTCCCATCAGCCACATTATTGCAATCATACTCCACACAGTTCCCATCAGCCACATTATTGCAATCATACTCCACACAGTTCCTATCAGCCACATTATTGCAATCGTACCCCACACAGTTCCTATCAGCCACATTATTGCAATCATACCCCATACGGTTCCTATCAGCCACATTATTGCAATCATACCCCAGAGAGTTCCTATCAGCCACATTATTGCAATCATACCCCATACATTTTGTATCAGCCACATTATTGCAATCATACCCCAGAGAGTTCCTATTAGCCACATTATTGCAATCATACCCTAGAGAGTTCCTATCAGCCACATTATTGCAATCATACCCCATACGGTTCCTATCAGCCACATTATTGCAATCATACCCACACAGTTCCTATCAGCCACATTATTGCAGTCATATCCCATAAAGTTCCTATCAGCCACATTATTGCAATCATACTCCTAACAGTTCTTATCAGCCACATTATTGCAATCAAACTCCACACAGCTCCTATCAACCACATTATTGCAATCATACTCCACACAGTTCCTATCAGCCACATTTTTGCTATCATACTGCATGCAGTTCGTATCAGCCACATTATTTCACAGAGGAGCATTTTGTTTGGGAACATCCTCTTCGCTATTTTTTATTTCTGGCTTTATTTCTCTTTGCAACAAATGCAATAATGTTGGTCAAACTGCCTTCTCAGGAGTCTCTGTGAGGATGTTGATATAAATCCACTGACAATAAGAGATACAGGCCAGGCATGGTGGCTCACACCTGTAATCCCAGCACTTTGTGAGGCCAAAGTGGGAGGATCACGAGGTCAGGAGATGGAGACCATCCTGGCTAACACAGTGAAACCCCATCTCTACTAAAAATACAATTAGCCGGGCGTGGTGGCGGGCTCCTGTAGTCCCATGTACTTGGGAGGCTGAGGGAGGAGAATGGTGTGAACCTGGGAAGAGGAGCTTGCAGTGAGCTGAGATGGCGCCACTGCACTCTAGCTTGGGGGACAGAGTGAGACTCCATCTCAAAAAAAAAAAAAAAAAAAGAAATGCAACATGCTGGCTACCAATAGTGACCTAAGTATTGATCATATAAATCCTAATTTGCCTTGTCCCAAGGTGGCACTGGTGGGTTTGCCCTGGGCCATTCTCACACACATGTATGACATATGTGGTTTACCCAGGGCCAATAACACACAATTGTGAGGAAAAAAAAAACAAAAACAGGTTGGTATTAGAATTTGTGACCACGAAACAGAGTTTTTCTTTAAAATGGGGCTGAGTGATTTAGACAGGGAAGAAACTCTCATCCTCGCCTTGCTATGTTTTCAATTCAACAACCTTAATCCAATGTAGAAAACATTTACTGAGCATCTGTCATATGCCAAGGATGAGGTTAAACTCACAGGCAAGAAAAATGGAATAATATTTGTGGTGCAGCTAGCTTGTGCTATAAAATTATCGACTATCTTTCATACATCATTTAAGTCAGTCTTCTCCTAATCCTGTAATTTTTGTGTTATCTCTATTTTACAAAACAGAAAATAGTTATTGAGAGCGCTTAAATAACTCAGCCAAATCCAATCAACAGGTAAATGGCAAATCAAAACAAAACAAAACAAAATTTTTGGTGAAAGACCTACAGTTACAGATTTTTAAAGGTCAGAAAGTGCTGAGCAGAGAAAATCTGATGAAAATCCTGTCTAGTCATATTACAAATTATGGAAAACGAAAAATAAAGAGAAATTCTTTAAAGCAGACAGCAAAAATGGCAAATGACATACAGAGAAACAAAGATCTGAATGACCTCTGATTGTTTAGCAGAAGCAAATGGAGGCCAGAAGACATATAAATATATCTTTTAAATTAACAAACATCTCTTGTAGATGGCAGATGGCTAAGATTTGCTTTTTAATCCATTCTGGTAATCTTCTCCTATTATTATTATTATTATTTATTTCACTTTAAGTTCTGGGATACATGCGCTGAACCTACAGGTTTGTTTACACCTTATACGAAAATTAACTCAAGATGGATTAAAGACTTAAATGTAAAACCTAAAACCATAGAAACGCTAGAAGAAAACCTAGTCAATACCATTCAGGACATATGCATGGACAAAGACTTCATGACTAAAACACCAAAAGCAATTGCAACAAAAGCCAAAATTGACAAATGGGATCTAATTAAACTAATAAGCTTCTACTTACTCAGCAAAAGAAACTATCAGAATGAACAGGCAACCTACAGAATGGGAGAAAATTTTTGCAATCTATCCATCTGACTAAGGTCTAATATCCAGAGTCTACAAGGAACTTAAACAAATTTACAAGGAAAAAAACAAACAACCCCATCAAAAAGTGGGTGAAAAAAAAGCTTTTTTTTACCCCAGTTGTTCCTAACTTTTCATCTCACCACACTTTGTTTTCAAGGAGCTCAGTCTTCTAGGTTGATAAGACAAAGGCAATAAATGGCTGTAATAACCAACCAGAGTGATGGAGGGGCCATTAGAGACATAGCACATGTGGAGGAGGGTGGATGGGAAGAGCAGGAAATCCACAGATATCAAGGGTGCATAGAACTGAGATCAGTCAGAATGGAAAGAGGGAATCACAGAGATTGGGAACCACATGAATTAAGGCAGGGAGCAGGGGCATGTCTGAGAATTTCTGATTCATTTTGGATGCAACAGAGAGTCCCTGAGATTTTGGAATTAAACAAAGATAACTAAAGAAGGCATTCAAAAGTGTTTAGCAAATAAGTCATACTTTTTTTTTTTTTTTTTTTTTTTTTTTTAGAATTGGGGCCTTGCTCTGTCACCTAGGCTGGAGTGCAGTGGCACAATCATACAGAGGAGTTTCTGTAGCCTGAAACTCCTCTCCCTTTCTGCCTCAGCCTCCTGGGTAGCTGGGACTACAGACACAAGCCATCACACCCAGCACAAACATACTTTTAATGGAATCACTAGGTCATAGGTCTTTTGACAAATTAGGGTGAGGAAAACCCGTCATTGAAGACATTACACATGTCTAGTGTAGGTACAATTAAGATCCAATCTAGGACAGGACAGAGGTTGAGAACAGAGCTGAGTAACTGTGAGATTCAGTTTGTATGACTTGGCAGGACATGGCAGGACTTGGCAGGATGTAGAAAGGAAAGGCTTAAAGGGCACCCAACATTTCATGTTTGCATCTGAGGGATGAGAAGGAGGAAGATGTTGATAATAATAACAAGAGCCATTTGGAAGGAAGAGGTGGTGGAGAGTTCAGTTTGGTATCCGACCCTGTTGTTTTGAAGTGCCAACTAAATTTCTGAAAGAAAGCTGGTTGACACACTTGTCTGACATTCAGGAAGGACGCCAAGGCTGTAAGTACAGATTCAGAGCTTATTTTCAGGGGCAAGGAATTCGAAGCTCTACAAATGAAACAGAGCCTAAGGAAAAGGGAAGAGCTTGACAAGAAGACAGTTCTGAATTTGGAGCCCAAGAGAATGCCTTCCAATAGAGAAGAGAGATAGGAACGAAGAAGCTGTTTTCTTCTGCAGTTAGAAGAAGCAGTCAGAAGGGAGGCAGAGAATATTCCAGAAGCATTGGAGAATCACCTAGATGTGGAAGAAGGGAACAATGATAAAAATAAGCACATTAAGAATAAAGGCTTTTAAAATATAGGTAGTGATAAACGCCTTTAGAGAGAAAGCAGTAACATACTCTGAGTTGAGAAGGAGACAGGAGAATGGGGAACAACACATCTTTGTGGATGGAGGCTAAGAGAGTTGGGAAGTGTTAGATAACCAAGTATTGGGAAATAATCTTCCATGTGGAGGAAGCAACATAAGTAATGTGACTTGCAATCAGGAAAGGAATAGGTTTGTGCAGGGATTAGGAAGAAGTTAGATTTAGCAGGAATAGGTTTTTATTAACCCATTTATGCCTGAGGTTGCAATTTTTTTTGAATTTTTGCAATCAGACCTTGGTGATGACCTTGCACAGTAGGATGTAAATAACTCCCACATGCTTAGTGTTCCAATAATGGAACACTAGTCATAAGTGGGTTTTAATGCAAAACAATGGGAAATACAACCAGACAGATTTGCTTGAGATGCCTTCAGTACTATCCTAAGATATAAACTTTATTCAATGGAGAACAGGGAGCTAGGAGAGGTCTTTAAACACAGAAGAGACTTTGAGCCCGTGGGAATAATTCTTACTGGCTGTCCAATGCTGCATTATTTTATCCACATGATTCTTCAGCTATAGAAGTGTGACTGTGGATTTTATCATCCATTTCTTTCTAATCCCAGACTAAACATATTCAAATATTTGCAGGATTCAGGCTGGACAGCCTGTTCCAGATAGAGAGTCATTTGGATATTTAATATAAATATATTCTCTTAGGCTGGTGTTGCGCTAAGGCAGTCTACACTCAGGTTGACACTGAAGAGAAAGTTCCATAAACAGGGTTAGGGCTGGGTGGGGAGGAGGAAGTAAGAAAACACTTCTATTGTCACTGTGAGATTCTTGTGGTTAAATTTGTTCAATTTAGTTCATCAAATAAAAATATATTTTCAAAAAAGGAGCATTATATTGGCAACTAAGACCTCCTCTCTGACCAATGCTCTGCCTCCCTTTTCTGGCCATGTGATCTTGGGTAATTCACTTTAATTTGGTTTCTGCAAGAGCAAAATTGAGGGTGGTTGAGTAGATTAGATTGTGACCCTGCGATCACATCCCTCCTTCCTCCAAATCTGCCTTCAGTATCCTTCTGAACACATTCCTCAAGGCAGCCAAGGCAATCAATAGAAGATCAAATAAATCCATTATATTTGGAGTAGATGATCTATAATACTAGGCACAAGTCTAATATTTGGGTATGTTTGAGCCCCGTACTTTGGGTGATAATAGCCTCATTTAGAAATTTAATGGAGAAATGGTCTGGAAACAGACAAAGGACAACTGCTTTGATTGGCTACCATCACTTGTGCTGAAAGAACAATCCTACCCTCTCTCTCTGTTCATTTTTAGAGAGACTGGTTGTTGTGAATTCATCAGCTAGGAAGTGTTATCTTGAAATCATATCTTGGAAATGTAATAGTCTGTGGCCTAATGGAAATCACAGAGGTTTGGGGATCAGAAAGATTTCAAATCAAATCCGACAGCCAAGACTCTCCAGTTGTGTAACCTTGGGGAATTCATCTGAGCATTAATTTTCACATCTGTAAAATGAGGTTTCTGTTGATCTCAGCTGGACTGTTTTGGGAGTTAATGGAAAGCTACAGAGAAAACATGGAGATTTGCTTATAACAGGAGCTCCATCGATGGAAGCCAACACCACCTTTGCAAGTTACCGTCCAACTTACGTTTCACGTACAGGCGGCCTATCACCTTAGCAGTTCCGTATCTGTTGGACACTTCACAAACATAGCTGCCTGAGTCCGAGGGGCGAATGTTCTCAATGAGCAGCCCCGTCACGGTCTTCTGGAACCTCCCTGAAAGTTCCAGGGGCATGTTGTCCTTCAGCCAGCGGTAATCTGGCTCAGGGTGCCCGAGCGCTTTGCAAGGCAGCTCCACACGCTGCCCAGCCATGGCTTTGCGATGGTCAAACCCATCCAGTATGGATGGGGCTGAGTTCGCTGGGTCTGTAGAAGAAATAAAAACTCTTAGAGGCAGGAATGAGGAGTTGAAGTGGTCATTTAGAATTGTAGGACTTCATGTATAACTTAAATACGGTGCATCATACCAACTATTGATACAGATCTTTAAGATTTTATAAGTGAACAGAAAAAGAAGTGCCCTATTCATACAATTTATTTTCTGCTCAGAATTTACAAAAGGTTGAACACTGGTCAGAGCTTCTGTTGGTCATTCCTCAGTAAATGAATAAAAGATCCAGAATGAGCAGGCTTCAACAAGAGCTGTCAGCTCAGGCCAAAAATCAGATTGTCTTTTCATAACTGGGAATGTCAGAATTCTCTTTAAAAGATCCTTAATGGGTACAAATATGCAATTTGAGATAAGAAATAAGACCTAGTGGTAGACAGATCAGTGGAATGACTATGGTTTGCAATTATGTATTGTATATTTCAAAATAGCTAAAACAGAAGAATTGAAATAATTATAGCTTAAAGAAAAGCCAAACATATAATGTGATGGATATCCCAAGTACACTGATTTGATTTTAACAAATTATATGAATACATTAAATTATCACATGTACCCCAAACTATATATCTATTATGCATCAATAAAATATCATAAAATTAATAAAATAAATATTTTTTAAGTTAGTGGCTCACTCTGTAGCTCAGGCTGGAGTGCAGTGGTGCAATGATTGCTCACCACAGTCTCAAACTCCTGGGCTCAAGTGATCCTCCTGCCTGGGCCTCCCAACATGCTGGGATTACAGGCATGCACCACCACACCCAGCCTAAATAAATTTAAACAGAAAAAAAGAGCAACACTAGGCCGGGCATGGTGGCTCAGGCCTGTAATCCCAGCACTTTGGGAGGCCAAGGCAGGCAGATCACGAGGTTAGGAGATCGAGACCATCCCGGCTAACACGGTGAAACCCCGTCTCTACTAAAAATACAAAAAATTAGCTGGGTGTGGTGGCGGGCGCCTGTAGTCCCAGCTACTCGGGAGGCTGAGGCAGGAGAATGGCATGAACCTGGGAGGCAGAGCTTGCAGTGAGCCGAGATAGCGCCACTGCAGTCCGGCCTGGGTGAAAGAGAGAAACTCTGTCTCAAAAAAAAAAAAAAAAAAAAAAAAAGAGCAACATAAGCAGAAATAGCTGTTTAACTTTAGTAAAATTTATTGCACAAAAGAGTTTTACACATAGCTTTTGAATTTTAAAACATTTTATTTATTCATTTCACAAATATGTTTTGATCCCTCAGTGTAGACCAGCACAGAGTTAGGGACTAAAGGGAGAGTGGTGGATGAGACAGGTGTCTTCCTGGAGCTCATGTTCTGTTGGGCGGGTGGTGTTGGGGAGCAAGCAACACATTAGCAAGCAAATAAAGATAATTTAGTTTGTAATAAGTGTAGTTAAAGAAAGAAAAAGAGGGCATAACAGAGAGTGAAGTCCACGTGCTATGGGTGTGGAGGCAGCCAGGAGGACTCAAGATATGGTCCTCAGGGACAGACTCTCTGAGAAGATGGTATTTGAGATAAGGTGAATGAGCACTACCGACAGCATGTGGCGTAGCAAGACAATGGATTAAAAAGCAGCAGCTTGCAAATGATCACTTATGACAGGGCCTTGTATAATTTTCCTGTTCTGTGACATCATCTTGAACCAGGTGAGGAAATTGATAAAATATTCTCAAGAACTGGGTCTGTGGAAACCACGCAGCTCAATGTCCTTCAAGTTTGTTTGAATGGAGTGATGTTCCCAAGGTCATAATCTTTGCATGACTATGAAGAATATAAAATACAGCACCTGATTGGATGCTAAACGTAAAACTCAGTGTTCTCACCCTGCTCTCTCTTCTAATTCAACCTGTTTAGAACTTGCATGAAACAATACCCTTGCATTCCACATGGATATTACAGAAACGTTATAGACTCCTGCTACCTGAAATTTTCTTGTCTTTGCCTCAGTGAGAAAAATGCCATGACTCTTTTGATCTACCTGCAATAAATCTGATGGCCAAGGAATGGATATTCACTGTCCTATCAAATGAGAGCCATCTGGAACTTTGTAATTTTGACGAACATCTCTATTCCCTGCTTCTCTGAGTTTGACTTTTTTAGATTTCACATGTATGTGAGAAAAGACAGTGTTTGTCTTTCTGTGCGTGGCTTACTTCACTAAGCACAATGCCCTTCAGGTTCATCCATGTCATTGCAAATGGGAAGATTTGCTTCCTTTTTTAAGGCTGAATAATATTCCTTTGTGTATATAGGAATGATATTCCTATGCATGTGTGTATATGTATATCAACACTTAAGTTTTTTTCATATTCTGGCTGTTGCGAATGATTCTGCAATAAACATGGGAGTGCAGATATGTAATTTCATTTCCTTTGGATATATACCCAGAGTGGGATTGCTAGATCATATGGTAGGTAAAAGGGTACAAAGCTTCAGTTATGCCAGATGAATAGATTCTAGAGGTTTACTATGCAGCACAGTGACTACAGTTAATAACACTATCTTACATACTTGAAATTTGCAAAGACAGTTGATCTTAAACATTGTCATCACATACACACACATACATACATACACACACAAATGTTAACTATGTGAGGCAATAGATATGTTATTTTGCTTGATAGTGATATATATATATATATATATGCACATTGTACATCACATTGTATACCTTAAATATATACAATTTTCATTTTTCAATACCTCAATTAACCTGGAGGAAAAATAAACTCTAGCCAAGGAGATGTAACAGGCGAAAATGTGTGGATTTGTAGGAAATTCTGCTTAAAGGCGACTTAGCTGGGAGGGGTGTTTTTATGCATTTTTCCTTTGCTTCTTTACATCACCTGGAAGGTGGATATAAAGGTAGGAGCTGCAGCAATCACTTTGGACTTTGAAATCATATTGAGAATGGAACTGCACGTGAGGATAATGGATCAGAAAGATAAAAGCCTGGTCCCTTGTGAAACTGAAGCTGGCAAACCAGCTTCTGGACTTATATACAAGAGAGTAAATTTCTGTTTTAATAAACAATAACATCAAAAAATCATTTATTAGTAGGAAGACTTCTTTAAGAGGCTGTGATTCCGTAGTCAGCCACTGAGGGCAGTCAGCAGGCACTGTTGAAAATAGAACAAAAACATTTAGCTGAAATGTCTTGGCTTTCTATTTCTTTTGTGATCATCAGAGATAAAACTTCATTATGAACTTGCTGCTCTTTTTACTTCACTGGTGTCTTATGACAGTGATATAATGAGGGAACCTAAATACTCTTTTAAAGAATACTTGATGAGCTTCCAGGACTCCTCTAATTCTTCATTAACTGAAGAATTCTATATTCCAGAATTACAGTCATTCATATGCATGACTATAGGGCTCCAGAAGGCAAGAGAGATATAAAAGTTTCACAATACCCAGGTACAGAGCCTGTGCCAGCAAAAACTTCATTGCTTCATTTACCTGCTTCTAAAGGAAATTACAAACGGACTTTGAAAAGTATTGGTTTGAAGATCAAGTTATGTTCCCATAGACTGAATAATTAAGTGGAGACAGGCCTAACCAATGATGTCTCACTGATCTCTGGCATCTTCTAGCATGAACCAAGAATCCAGAAAAATGGTTAGCTGTCTGCATCCATGTTACTGGAAGTATCATCACCTGCACACCCAATGGGTTCAGTGAACTAGAAGACACAAAGTTGTGCCTAAAGCCAGCTCCAGAAATGGTCCTGGACATCCTTAACCACATGGGATTTTTTAATTCCTAGTACACTAACTTGCAGACCATATAAACACCATTGCAATATTGTTTAGTAAGTAGAAATCACATCCAAGATAATATGTATTACTTGGGGTAAGCTTCTCTATTATTCTGAACTCTGTCTTCATTTAATTAAGAAATGTGAGAATTGGACACAGGAAGGGGAACATCACACACCAGGGCCTGTTGTGGGGTGCGGGGAGGGGGGAGAGATAGCATTAGGAGATATACCTAATGTTAAATAACGAGTTAATGGGTGCAGCACAACAACATGGCACATGTATATATATGTAACGAACCTGCACGTTGTGCACATGTACCCTAAAACTTAAAGTATAATAAAAAAAAACAAAAACAAAAAATGTGAGAATATAATGATAGCTCTCGTTCTTCAGTAATACAGATTTTAGTTACACTAGAGTGGAATATTGAAGATATTAGAAAGTACTATGAAAAAATAGCTGCAAAATCTGTCATTTTACTTAGAGTAGGAAGTAGAAGTAGAGTTGGAGAAGGTGGCACAAAGATGTCACCCCTTTGGCAGGGGTGGCTGACAATAAACACCACAGTGTGCACCTCTGACTTTCTTTGCAGAATAATCCCACAATCTCTGAAAATGAAATGCACCAACTTCTAATGCTATTCATAAAAAATCAACTCTCAATGACTGCACTTAAAAAGTTTTATTCTAACTGAAACTTGGCAGAAATTTCTCAAATATGCTTAAGATAGTGCTATGTAATTCTAATGACATTTTTAAAAAATGGCTGAGACAACTGGATATCCACATGGAAAATAATTTAGAACCTTGCCTCACACTACCTACAAAAATTAACTCAAAATGGATTATGGCCTAAATATAACAGCTAAAACTATAAAAACTTTTAGAAGAAAACATAGGGAAAATATCTTCATGACCTTGAAGAGTTCTTAGGCATAACACTAAGAAAACAAGCAAAAACAGAAAAAATCAACATAATAAACTTCTTCAAAATTAAGAACTGGCCCAGTGCGGTGACTCACGCCTGTAATCCCAGCACTCTGGGAGGCCGAGGCAGGCAGATCACATGAGGTGAAGAGTTCAAGACGAGCCTGGCCAACATGGTGGAACCCCGTCTCTACTAAAAATACAAAAATTAGCCAGGTGTGGTGGCATGAGCCTGTAATCCCAGCTACAGGCAGAGGCAGGATAATAGCTTGAACCCGGGAAGCGGAGGTTGCAGTGAGCCAAGATCATGCCACTGCATTCCAGCCTGGGCAACAAAGCAAGACTCCATCTCGAAAAAAAAAAAAAAAAATTAAGAACTGTAGCATTTTCAAAGGCACCATTTAGAAAGTGAAAAAAAATTGAAAATCATATTTCTAATAAAGAACTCAAATCCAAAAAATATTAAAAATGCTTATATCTCTATAATGAAAAGAAACAACCCAATCAAAATGGGCAAAATAGTTGACTATTTTACATCACCAAAGAAGATACACAAATACCTAATCAGTACACAAAAAGATGCTCAATATTACTAGGCATTAGGGTAATATGAATTAAAATCACAGTAAGACATGACTTCACACCCATTAGGATGACTGCAATAAAATCACAAACAATGCTGGTGAAGATATGGGGACCTGGAATCTTCATACATCGTTGGTGGAAGGTAATATATACTTACATATGCACACATATACATCTCACGTAAAAATGGCTTGCTGGAGTGCCAGCCTTCACATCCACATCACAGCAAAAATGCTTAAGAATGCCCCCTCAGTGAAGTCACTTTTAAGCAGAATTTCCTACAAACCCACACATTTTTCTCCTCTTACATCACATTGGCTAGAGTTTATTTTTTCCCCAGGTGTATTGTGGTATACTTGCCAAATAAAAGCAGCCAAAACAAGTTGGCATTTTCTTAAAGTGTTTAAACTTCAATTTGCCATAAGGCCCCAAGTTCTAGGTATCTACCCTAAATGAATGAAAACATGTTCACTCAAAGACTTAGGTACAAATGTCCATAGCAGGATTATTCATAATCAAAAAGTGGAAACAACCCAAATATTCATAATTTAGTGAATTGATAACCAAATGCAGTATTTACAGATGAGCAAATGCTCTCCAGCAACAAGAGAGAATGAATGACTAATACATGTAACAACATGGGTGCTGCATGAAAGAAGGCAGACACAAAATCCATATATCAATTTATGTGAAATATCCAGAAAATGCAACTCTACAGAGACAGACCATAGATTAGTGGTTGTCTGGGACTGGGGATGGACATTGAAATTGGCTTCAAACGGGTAGGAGGAATCTTTTGGGTGGTGAAAATATTCTAAAATTAAATTGGCGTAATTGTGGCACGACTCCATGCATTTACTAAAATTATTGAATTGAATAAACCGGATGGAGTTTATATTAAAGTAAACTACCTCTCAACAAAACTGTTTTACGAAACCTGAATGAGGTATTTATTTTTTTATTTCAACTTTTATTTTAGATATAGGCGGTATATGTGCAGATTTGTTACATGGGAATATTACGTGATGCTGAGGTTTGGAGTAGAGATCCTGTTCCTCAGGTAGTGAGCATGGTACTTCATAGGTAGTCTTTTTTTTTTTTTTTTTTTTTTTTTTGAGACAGAGTCTCGCTCAGTTGCCCACGCTAGAGTGCAGTGGCGTGATCTTAGCTCACTGCAAGCTCTGCCTCCCGGGGTTCACACCATTCTCCTGCCTTAGCCTCCCGAGTAGCTGGGACTACAGGCGCCTACCACCACGCCCGGCTAATTTTTTTTGTATTTTTACTAGAGGCGGGGTTTCACCGTGTTAGCCAGGATGGTCTCTATCTCCTGACCTTGTGATCCGCCCATCTAGGCCTCCCAAAGTGCTGGGATTACAGGTGTGAGCCACTGTGCCTGGCCCTTGATAGGTAGCTTTTTAACCTAAACTCTCTGCCTTCCACAGTCTAGTGTCCACAGTGTCTATTGTTCCTGTATTTGTGTCCATGTGTGGTCAATATTTAGCTCTTACTTATAAGTGAGAACATGAGGTACTTGGTTTTCTGTTCCTATGTTAATTTACTAAGAATTATGGCCTCCAGCTCCATCCACATTGCTGCAAAGAATGAGATTTCATTCTTTTTTATGGCTTTCCAGTATACCATGGTGTATATGTACCACATTTTATTTATCCAATCTACCATTGATGGACACCTGGGCTGATTTCATGTCTTTGCTATTGTGAATAGCCCAGCGATGAACATACAAGTGCATATGTCTTTTTGGAAGAATGATTTATTTTCTTTTGGATATATTACTCAGTAATGGGATTGCTGGGTCAAATGGTAGCTCTATTTTAAGTTCTTTGAGAAATCTCCAGTCTGCTTTCCACAATGGCAGGACTAAGTTACTTTACCACCAGTAGTGTATAAGTGTTCCCTTTTCTCTGCACCCTCACAGCATCTGATGTTTTATATTTTAAGTGCATGATTGAAGCAATGCTTGAGACAGGCTCTTGTGGGGATATTTGGTCATATATCAAATCTGAATAACCGAACGGCATTGTCTTTCATTTTCATCCCCTTCAAATTTTTTTTTGTCTCAAAGTCTTCAAACTTTTATATATATATATATATTACAAAAATTATTTTTACCCCAAACATTTGAAAACGTACAGAAAAGTAGACAAAAATAATATGACGCATCCCATATATTCATCATATTAATGGCTCTGGCACCAAACCTTTTCTATTTTTCGTCATGTTTATTTCTTGATAGTTTTACTTTGTTTTTGGTGGTAAAGTATATGCAACAAAAGGGAAACTATAGGCTGGGTGCAGCGGCTCACGCCTGTAATCCCAGCACTTTGGGAGGCCGAGGCAGGGGGATCACAAGGTCAGGAGATCGAGCCCATCCTGGCCAACATGGTGAAACCCTGTCTCTACTAAAACACAAAAAATTAGCTGGG
The DNA here is from genome assembly GCF_000001405.40 of Homo sapiens. Taxonomy (NCBI): domain Eukaryota; kingdom Metazoa; phylum Chordata; class Mammalia; order Primates; family Hominidae; genus Homo; species Homo sapiens. The sequence continues at coordinate 501,133 of NW_025791814.1, forward strand.
TGTGGTGGTGCATGCCTGTAGTCCCAGCTACTCAGGAGGCTGAGGCAGGGGAATCACTTGAACCCGGGAGGCAGAGATCGAAGTGAGCTGAGATTGTACCACTGCACTCCAGTGTGGCAACAGAGTGAGACTCCATCTCAAAAACAAACAAACAAACAAACAAACAACAACAAAAAACAAAAAAGGGAAGCTATGTCATTTTATCATTACATGACTAGCATGTTTCCCTAATAAAAATACGGTTTTGTTACATAACCACAGTCAGTATTACATAATATCAAGTATTATACACTCCCAATTCATTTTTCCTCATCAGCTCAAAAGTGGCTAGCTTTTAAACAATTGAATTAATTAAATCAAGATCCTTCTCTTGCTCACATGCAGTTGTTACATCTCTTGAGTGTTTCTTAATGCAGAGCTAGCCCTCCTCCTTTCTCCCATGTATTTGACTTGGCTTTTTAAAGAAACCAGGTATGATGTTCCCCCTCCTGTGTCCATGTGTTCTCATTGTTCAATTCCCATCTATGAGTGAGAACATGCGGTGTTTGGTTTTTTGTCCTTGCGATAGTTTACTGAGAATGATGATTTCCAATTTCATCCATGTCCCTACAAAGGACATGAACTCATCATTTTTTATGGCTGCATAGTATTCCATGGTGTATATGTGCCACGTTTTCTTAATCCAGTCTATCATTGTTGGACATTTGGGTTGGTTCCAAGTCTTTGCTATTGTGAATAGTGCCGCAATAAACATACGTGTGCATGTGTCTTTATAGCAGCATATGTACCCTAAAACTTAAAGTATAATAATAATAAAAAAAAAGAAACCAGGTAGTTACCATGCTGAATTTGCTTGTCCATGTCATCATTTAACTTGTTCCGTTATTGCCATAGGCATTTTTCTTATGAACTGGAATTTATTTCAGTGGGTTGGTTAGATAAGTGTTCAACCTCTCTCTCTTTGAGAGGGGTGCTGTGCACTTCACATTGCTTCCACAAAATGTATGGTTTTCCCGTTCTTAGTGACACTCAATTGTTCAGTGAGGTCAGATGTTAAAATTTATCTGAGCTATTTTGCTAAGGTTGAAAATGGAATTTTCTAATTGTGTCATTTCGTTCGCATTCAGTAGATATAATTATTCTGCAGAATGAACTTTCCCTTCTGAACTAAGGTTATTTGGTTATCTTAAAATACAGCAGCTATAGGAAAGACAATACATTTAGTGGTTGTTGTCTTTAATCATCTGTTATCAGAATGAAGAGTTAGTGCCCTGGTTTCTACTATGCAGACCAATAAGATTCTTCTTTCTTTCTTTATATGAAATATATATGCAGGTGTGCATATGTAAGTATATATGTACATATGTGTATATATCTATATATACACACACATGTATGTATAAAATTAAAATGAACTCAAAGGTTTTCAAAATATTTAATGGTTATCAATCATGTGCAAGCATCACTGCTGATACTCAATTCATCCCCTTTGGCTGACGAGAGCCGCTTTATGTTGATTCCTATGTCATTTTGACAAGACCCCATTCATGTTTCAGACTCACCTCAGACATTTCCTGCCTCAGACCTTCAATCAGCCACTCCTCCAAGAAGCCATGGTCCCTTTTAGTAGTGAATTATATTTAAAAGAATCTACAATCTAGATGTTAGAGGGGCTTGTTGCTATTGTTTGCTCATCACTTCTGGGACTTCTCAGTGGAAAGACTGAAAATTCATACTTTTTTTTTGAAGTGTGTACCAATAGTTTTTTGTGTTCTTTTTTTTTTTTTTTTTTGAGATGGAAGTTCACTCTTGTCACCAGGCTGGAGTGCAATGGTGCCATCTTGGCTCACTGCAACCTCTGCCTCCTGAGTTCAAGCAATTCTCCTGCCTCAGCCTCCTGAGTAGCTGGGATTACAGGCACCCACCACTATACCTGGGTAATTTTTGTATTTTTAGTAGAGATGGGGTTTCATCATGTTAGCCAGGCTGGTCTTGAACTCCTGACCTCAAGTGGTCTGCCTGCCTCGGTCTCCCAAAGTGCTGAGATTACAGGTGTGAGCCACCACGCATACCACAAATACCAATAGTTTCTATTGGAATTTGACATTTCAAGGATTTTATGCATTTTTTAAAATTTAGGGAAAGGACTTCATGTCTAAAACACCAAAAGCAATGCCAACAAAAGCCAAAATTGACAAATGGGATCTAATTAAACTAAAGATCTTCTGCACAGCAAAAGAAACTACCATCAGAGTGAACAGGCAACCTACAGAATAGGAGAAAATTTTTGCAATCTACTCATCTGACAAAGGGCTAATATCCAGAATCTACAATGAACTCAAACAAATTTACAAGAAAAACAAACAACACCATCAACAAGTGGGCAAAGGATATGAACAGACACTTCTCAAAAGAAGACATTTATGCAGCCAAAAGACACATGAAAAAATGCTCATCATCACTGGCCATTAGAGAAATGCAAATCAAAACCACAATGAGATACCATCTTACACCAGTTAGAATGGTGATCATTAAAAAGTCAGGAAACAACAGGTGCTGGAGAGGATGTGGAGAAATAGGAACACTTTTACACTGTTGGTGGGACTGTAAACTAGTTCAAACATTGTGAAAGTCAGTGTGGCGATTCCTCAGGGATCGAGAACTAGAAATACCATTTGACCCAGCCATCCCATTACTGGGTATATACCCAAAGTAATATAAATCATGCTGCTATAAAGACACATGCACACGTATGTTTATTGAGGCATTATTCACAATAGCAAAGACTTGGAACCAACCCAAATGCCCAACAATGATAGACTGGATTAAGAAAAAGTGGCACATATACACCATGGAATACTATGCAGCCATAAAAAATGATGAGTTCATGTCCTTTGTAGGGACATAGATGAAGCTGGAAACCATCATTCTCAGCAAACTGTCGCAAGGACAAAAAACCAAACACCGCATGTTCTCACTCATAGGTGGGAATTGAACAATGAGAACACATGGACACAGGAAGGGGAACATCACACACCGGGGCCTGTTGTGGGATGGGGGGAGGGGGGAGGGATAGCACTGGGAGATATACCTAATGTTAAATGACGAGTTAATGGGTGCAGCACACCAACATGGCACATATATACATATGTAACATACCTGTACGTTATGCACGTGTACCCTAAAACTTAAAGTACAATTAAAAAAAAGTGTATATATATATATATATACACACACAGTAGTATATATACATATATATATATACACACACTAGTATATATACATATATATATATATATATACACACATACATATATATACACACTAAGGCACATCTGTTCTCTTAGAGCTTAGGATAAAAAGTACATATGTAAAGTATTTAGAAATAATTATTTCAGTTGTATAAATGCCTTACATTTTTGTTATATTTCAAGAATTTCTATAAATTTTCAAGAATTATAAAAGAATTTCATACTTTTATTTTTCTCTTATACTGAAAATAAAAATAAAAATAACATAAACATAATCACTTTTCACTTATCCCACTATATATGCTACTATAAATAAAAATGAGTATCTATAATATATAATATATAAACAAATATATTTAATGTGATGATTAATATTGAGTGTCAACTTAATTGGATTGAAGGATGCAAAGTATTGTTCCTGGGTGTGTCTGTGAGGGTGTCACCAAAGGAGATTAACATTTGAGTCAGTGAACTGGGAGAGGCAGACCCACCCTCAATCTGGGTGGGCACCATTAATCAACTGCCAGTATGGCTAGGATAAAAGCAGGCAGAGGAACATGGAAAGACTAGACTGGCTTAGTCCTCCAGCCTACATCTTTCTCCCGTGCTGGATGCTTCCTGCCCTTGAGCATCAGACTCCAAGTTCTTCAACTTTTAGACGCTTGGACCTTCGACCACAGACTGAAGGGTGCACTGTTGGCTTCCCTACTTTGAAGGTTTTGGGAATTAGACTGACTTTCTTTCTCCTCAGCTTGCAGACGGCCTATTGTGGGACTTTACCTTGTGATCACGTGAGTCATTACTCCTTAATAAACTCTACTTTATATATACATCTATCCTATTAATTCTGTCCCCCTAAAGAACCCTAATACATATATAGAGACTAGACTCCAATTTTTACCTTCTAGACACTACTAACCTTTCAGAAGAGTTGCTCATCTTCTCGGAGTTTCAGCAATCTCCTCTAAAACTGTCCCTACTGAAAAGGCAGTCCTCAATACCAAACTCACTTCTTGTGGCTGTTTTCCTCTGGAATTTGGTCCTGTAAGTTTTCACTCTAGCTCCTAACAGCCATGAGCAGATGTTTTTTACACATTTAACAAGTCTTTCTAGTTATCCTCAGAGAAAGAATGACTTGTCCAAATAACTAGCCCTAGCACAGAAATCAAGACCATTTTAAAAAATATTAGGTCAGTTTGTCTATTTTACTGACTTTTTTTTTAAAGAAAAAACTTGTTTATTACATTTACTGTTCTTTTGGTCTATTTTCTATTTCATTAGTCTGTTTATATTCTCCCTTAGAAGTAACTTGAACTTATTTTCTGGCTGTCTAAATGATATTTTTCTTTATCTTTACAGCTCAAAAATTTTATTAGACTATGTTGCATGTTGACCATTCTGGGTCCATTTTTCCAGGTAGGGTTGTGCCATTTTAATATGTAGTCATTATGCATTCTTTTTAATGACAGGAGACTTTTTTTGAATTAGTGTTTTATTATTAATACTTATTCTCATCAATTGCTTGGCTTTCTTTTTAAGAGAATTTAGTTATACATGTGTTTCATCATCTTTGTCAGACATCTATACATTTTTAACTCTATTTGTCTTATTCCTTAATATTTTTGATTTCCCATATTATGCTTTCTGTTGTGTTTATCCTCTGATGTGTTCCCTGTCATTTCATTTTAATTTTAGAACTCTTCATTTTTCTAACTTTTTCCAAAATATGCCACTTTTTGTTTCACAGATTTGTGTTGTTTCATCATTTTATTTCTGATTTATACTGCTCTTTCAAAGCTTTAATCATTTCAAACAAAAAAATATAGTTTTCATATGATTTGTCAGTATTTTTTGTAGTTACTTATAATCAAAACTTTTTTAAAAATTTTCATTCTTTTTCTTGTGATAAAGTTGTGTTGGGTTAAATCTTTTTCCTTTTTGTTTCATTTTACAATAAGATAGAGATTCTTAGTTAATTAGGAGAAGGTTCCTGCAGGAGAGGATGAAATGAGTATATTTTTCCAGTCTTCTCCCTTGATATTACCTTCAAGGACTCGACATTTAGCCCATCTCTCAGAGCTATATGGGATTGAACTGTATGGGCTTCCACTTCTGGCCATGTGTTTCCTAGAACACTGTTTTTTACATTCTAAGGCTGTGCGTGTTGTATTTTCTTTTGCAGTATTTCATAGGATGGAATTCTCTAGGGCCTCCCCTGGTTCCCGAGCCTTCTCTGTTACTCTTTGTATTCTACTCTGGCTCAATTTGATTTCTAAATTGAGCCGTTCCCCTGAGAGTGAGTCTCTGTTCTTCTGAAAGGAGTACTTGCTGAGTACTTCCACTATCTTCAAGGACATAGACCATCACTGGCCTGTGCAAACATTACCAGCCACTCTAATGGCCTTGTGACTCATCTCCAACCTAGACCTCATGCAGTTCTATCCCAGTGTTGTGAGGACTCTAAGACACAAAGAATTCTCCTCTGCTTTTGGAGATGGGGACCCGTTGGTTATTTGCAGTTTTCTGACACTACCATAAACCCAACAGGCTGACCCCTTCTACTGCCTTCCACCTCTGCTGCTGGTCCTGTTGTTGCCAGTAATCCAGTTGTGTTGAAGGTGCCATCCATGTACTTTTTTCTTTGTCATCCTATTTTATCTGTGTTGGTTTCAGGAGGAGTTTGGGGTCAAACACCAACATGTTTCCACCATGACCCAAACTCCAGATGTACATTTTTCAGTATATTTAAATCTAATTTAAAATGAAATTAATTTCTCTTTTCCTTCAAAGCTTGACATGTTAGAAATGCATTCTGTATTCAGTGTCTACAGTCTCATCTTTTAGCATTAACAAATTTCTTCCTCAACTGCTTTATTAAAATTTCAATGACAAAAAATATTGAGTTATTTTCCACATATGGTAGACTCTCATATGAGCCTTTTTGTGGCATGTGACTCTGTGGACCCCTCCCTTCTCCTGGCATCTATCACCTCCCTGTCTTCATCTATACTGTTAGTCCTGAATGCTCAGTCTTATTCCTTGGCTACTTTTCGGCAGGTGGCTTAGTGTATGATATTCCCTGGCTGGATTATACATTGTTGCTCTCACTTTTCCAATGCTCACTAGGCAATCCTAGGACTCCCATGGTGACAAAATGCTTGTGACTACTTCTGTCCATTTTTGAAACATTAGTGAATCACTCCAAAACAAAAAATGAACAAACATCGTGGGATTAAGGAAAGTAAACTTGCCTTTCCAACCCTGAGAGATACATTTAAAAATCAACACTTGATGATTCAGCATGAAGATAAAAAAGGTCACCTGAAACAGAAAGACGGGCTCTTAGATCATCACCACTTATGTCATCATTTGGAGGGAGAAATGCTTATTTACTAATTTTGCGAATCCCAAATTAATTTTATATCAGGATCCCCCTCCTACCTCGAATCCTTCCCCTTTCTTTTCTGAACATGCCATTAGAAAATTTCTCTTTAACACAAAGAGGACGTTTTCTAGGATTTTCTGAATAAGCAGAATATTGTGCTCTCCTTAAAGCTATCATGGACTAAGATGATAGTTATTATTCATTTTCTAATTCATTTTTCCCCCAAAAGACATGATAACTATAAAAGCAAGGGAGAAAATAGCAATTGACTTGTAAAAGAACAGATAAAGAAACAAAAATACTTGCAAGTTCAAAGGAAAACTAATTTAATTCTGACTTGTATTTGTGCTGGACCTTGAAAGACTATTGGCTATTTTGAAGATGTAAGTGATGAAGAGAAAAATCCCAACAGTACATTATCAAGGACAAAAAGTGGGTGCTCAGGCAGTGATGTTTTAAATTATTCCAATGTTCAACAAGTTCCCTTCACTTCTTCCCATAAAGCATTATTACAAATAAGGTACTTCTCAAATATTGATAGCAAGCAACCTTTGGTCACTTCCATCTCACTATTACAACCTTATAGGATATTTACCACAGGGGGGCAATTTTATATTCTTCAGCTACAAAGGCAAAGGTTGGGTATTTTGTATTTGGTTTTATAATCAAATCAAATGCAATTTGACTGCATTTGAGATGGATATTTGGGATGGAGATGGATCTTTCACTCCTAATGTGCTCCCTGAAATGCTAACGCATCATTATGTGAATGTGTCAATTACTGGTTTGACAAATGTGAAATCTGTATTTCTATGAAATTGTACTCATATTCATTTAAAAGAGTTTTAAAATTCCTAAAATATTTTGGAAAAGGAATTGAAGGCTCCATTTTAGTGGCAACACTCCACAATTTTGATTGAGTCGTCTCAGGACACTAACAAAGAAATAGCAGACATAGCAGACAGAGTCTTGATAAGTTTTTACCTGATACAAAAAGTCTGGCGCTGTTGCTCTGCCTCGTCTCTCCGGTGTATCGATGCCGCGTGATGCAGCGGTAGTTATACAATCCATCTTCATTCTGTACATCTTTAATATACAAGGCTCCCGTGGATGTGATGAGAAATCTAGATCCTGAAATAGAGGAAAACAGTGGCTTGGTTAAAAGACAATGAAAGCAACCCAACCACACAGACAAAGTCCTTAAACAGTTTTTTTTTTCCCCCACCTGAAGAAACTTAATGAAAAGGCTAAAAATGGGTGCGTGCGTCTGCGTGTGTGTGTGTGTGTGTGTGTGTGTGTGTGTGTGTCAATTAAGGGTCCAAGCTGTTTTAATTTTTTGACTAGCCTACATTAAGGGTTTTTAGTCCTTATGCTATACAATAAATATATACTTAGCAAATCTAACCTCATAAACTTTTTTTTAGATCATGCATTTATCTTACAGCAACGAAGTTGTCATATAATTGGTATATACCGAACACAGAAGATTTTCTTGGATCATTACATTTCCCTTAGAATGTGACAAATTAAGGGAATATTAACTTTTTGTTGCACATCTCTAGCTTATGAAAGTATAAACTTTTGCCTCAGTTTAAAATGTTTCAATAAAAGCACAAAAATATTAGACTACAAAGCAATAAAATATTCTACAAACTTCCCCTAAAAAGGCTGTCTTATTTCCTCACATTAATAACCAATATTTATCACTATATTCTATGACACATATCAATTCTTCCCAGATTCAGTGTTTTAGAATACTCTGTTATTTCTTAATCACTAATTTTTAAAGGGACTGTTCAAATCACTAACAATAACAATTTTCACCTCAAGAAAAAAAATTCATGATCAGTCATTCCCCATTATGTCAGCACAAAACAATGTCCTATCTGTAACCTCTAATTTTTACCGGTAAAGCTTCAGTTGAACAGAAAGGGCCAACATTGAGATCAAATATCAGTGTTAGTTTAAGAGGGCAAAAATGTTTTTTTCCCTTTGAAAATGTAACTTTTAAAGATATTTTTCGCTGTTCAATTTTAATTGGCTGATAAAACAAGTTGGAGCATAAAGGTAAAATGTAAATGATCATCGTAAGTGGATTCTATAATTTCCCTAAGATAATAAAATTTCTGGTCTTTTACTTTAAAAAAAAAAAAAAAGTAGAGCTGAGAGTGCCTCATTGCACCTTCCCGGTGGGTAACTCAGTACACCTCCTGCCACCGTTAGACTCTTCTATGGGCTATTTCTGCATGTGATGTGATTCCACTAGAAAGAATGTGATTTTTATCTTTGAAAAAAGACTAAAATGCCAAATAATCAACTTTTATTGCTTATTTTTCTCAGGTTCAGTTGAAACATCCTTTAGTTTATTTCAGTCAGAATTTCCAGGAGTCTTAGCTTCATTGCTTTTGAGCTTTACATATTTAAATTGTAAAGATAATTTCTTGGTCATTTTCTGCAGTAACTACACATCATGCATAGGTCAGTTTCTCAGATAAATTAAAAATGGTTTATGGTTTTTTTTTTTGAGATAAGGTCTGGCTGTATTATCCAGGCTGTGGTGCAGTGGTATCATCTCAGCTCACTGCAGCCATCACCTCCTGAGCTCAAGCAATCCTTCCACC